>NC_000008.11:39254041-39557072 GCF_000001405.40 Homo sapiens | reverse complement strand
ATTGTAAATATACATAAAATAGCATACTTTCAAATAATAAAAAGAAATGGAGTATGGATACATATTGCAAGGAGGATGAACCTCAAAAACACTATGCTAAGTGAAGAAAGTCAGATGCAAAAGGTCAACTATTGTACAATTCTACTTATATGAAATATCCAGAATAGGGGACTCCATTAAGACAACACAGAGGGGCGGTTTCCAGGGTCTGAGGGGAAGGGAGAATGTGAGCAACTGCTTAATGGGTCAGGGGTTTCCTTTTGTGTTGATGAACATGTTTTGGAAGTAGATAGATGTACAACGTTGTGTATGTACTAAATGCCACTGAGTTGGCCACTTGAAAATGGTCAATTTTATGATTTGTGAATTTCACTCCAATTTAAAAAAATTTCTAGTGAAAGCACTCATAGTTAAAATGCATCCTATTTTCTTCAAAATATCTTTTTTCTTCAAAAAAAACTAGAAAGTATTTATGCTTAATGAAAATAAAATGTCTGATAGACATCTTTTTCATTTTGCAGTTCAAGTAATTTTCTTTTCAAGATCTGTTCCACCTCCACTATGAGGGGGTTATAAATCTCATGAATCTGCTTCTGACACAGGGTAATAATCTGAACACTCACCCTCAGATACAGTGATAGTACAGTGATGGGAAATTCAGTTTCACAAGATCAGTCATGTTTTCCTCCACTACCAAGTATTGAAATGAATGTTGGAAGGGAGAAGCTCTCTCTACTCTTCTGAAATATTGCACACTGTGGACTAAAAAAGCAAAGAGCTAAAATGACCTATTGCTATCATATATGAAAGCTTGTTAGAATTGTCAGCCAGAATGCAAAGATACCCAAGAGATACATAGATCAAAAATCTTGTTACTATTTGAAACAAAGATTCACTTAGCAGGAGGCTAGCCCCATCTTCCACCTGATCTTCTGCAGTGTTTTCCTTTTATGGCCATTCATTATCAAGACAAACTGACCAATACATTACCAATATTATCTAGTACCAATCATATTTTTTTAGACATTACGAAGAGGAATATCTTAATAATGATTACAAACATGTTAATCACTGTTATGTGTTAGCAAAGCAGCTGTTTCAACAAAGCAGCTGTTTCTTTTTTATCTTTGAACTTAGGGTTGTGTCTATTAGTAAGCAGGAAATGTATTTTTAAAAATTGCATCAAATCCTTAAATTTAATACAAGCTTTATTGAAACTGGCCTGTTAGAGAGTAGACAGAAAAGAAAAACAGAAAGTTTTTTGTACTTACGATCAATAGTAAAAGAGAGCAATAAAAACTTCCTGTCTTACACTTTGGGTTACTCAGAAGCCTCCTTGAATTTTTCTCCTGGTTAGGCTGTAAATTTTCCAAACTTTGATGCTCTGCTTTTCTTTTAAATAAGGTTCCAGCTTTAAGTCATTTCTTTTCTCTTGTGTATGAACATAGGCTGTTAGAAGCAGCCAAGCCAAACTTAAATACTGCTTCCTAGAAATTTCTTCTACCAGTTATTATAAATCATCACTCTTTAATTCAACTTCCACAGATCCCTAAGACATGAACAGAATGCAGCCAAGCTCTTTGATGAGGCATAAAATTTGTGACAATTGATCCAGGTCCCAATAAGTTCCTCATTTCCATCTGAGACCACCTCAGTCTAGACTTCATTGTCCATATCACTATCAGCATTTTGGCCACAAGCATTTAATCAGTCTCTAAATGAAGTTCCAAACTTTCCCTCATATTCCTGTATTTTTCATAGTCCTCCAAACTCTTCCAGCCTTTACTTGTTACTCAATTCCAAAGTCACGTCAACATTTTCAGGTATCTTTACAGCAATACCTCACCTCTGGTACCAATTTTCTGTATTTGGCCATTCTTGAATTGCTATAAAAAAATACCTGAGACTGGGTAATTCATAAGAAAATAGGTTTAATAGGCTCATGGTTCTGCAGGCGGTACAGGAAGCATAGCAGTATCTGTTTCTGGGGAGACTTCAGGATGCTTCCAATTATGGCGGAAGGCAAAGGGGAAGCAGTCACATCACATGGTGAAAGCAGGAGCAAGAGAGCAAGGGGTGGGGTGCTACATACTTTTAAATGACCAGATCTCATGAGAACACACTCCCTAGTGTTAGAACTGTACCAAGGAGAATAGTGCTAAACCATTCATGAAAAATATGCCCCCATGATCCAATCACCTCCCACAAGGCTCCACCTCCAACATTGGGGGATTACATTTCAATATGAGATTTGGGTTGGGACACAGGTGCAAACTATGTCAATATTTTAATATATAGATCTTACATAAATTTGAATTTTCCTACATAGGCACAGCAGACCCTTCAAAATCAGGAAATAATGGTGTGGTACAAACATTTATATACATCACAATATTGGCATTTTGTAGCAAAATGATGCAGTTCAGAATCAAACATCACGTTTAGTTCTCACATCTCCTTACCTTACATTCCTAAGATTTTTTTTTTGATTGATTTTCATGATTTTGATAAGTTTGATGATTACAGGCCAATTTTGGGGTAGAAATTACCTTAATTTAGGTTTATAAAATATATTTTTATGATTAGACTGAGGTTATGCATCTTTACAATATTATTATAGCAGTGTTGCTTTGTTTGTTTCATTGCAATACAAAAAGTTGTGAACAATCTCGATTTGTTATATTACTGAGAATAGTCACTTTGATCAGTTGATTAAGGTGTCCATGCCAGTATTCCCTGGAAAATTACTTTTTTTTCCTTTGTCTGTTGATAATTCCTTGGAGAGAAACCCTTTGGTTTTATGTAAACAATCCATTTCTAATTATATTTTAAATACATTAATGTATTTATATCAGTTTGGAATCATGTTTTCATATTTTACTCAATGGGTTGTAATCCATTAGTACCATTATAATCTTTGACATTCGAATTGTCCCAGTTTTGGCCTGTTGGAGCCCTTTCTAACTGGCCTTTGTGTTATCTCCATGATACTTTGTGAATCTCCTTATTTTTTATAGAAGGCATTCCAGGCTAATTTTTAATTTTCTCTGCCTGAGCCTTGGAACCAGTCATTTCTTCAAGATATCCATATTTCTTTTAGTGGAAAATAATATTGAAAAAGTGTAATCTGGATGAGACATTTGCTCATTTTTACCAGATTTTTTCTGGACAGAGATCGAGACCATATCAGCATCTTAAGTAATGTTAATAGCTCTTTTCCTCTCACCCACAATTTGCAAAATCTCCACCAATTTCAGCTCCTATAATGCTATGAACTTACAAATAAACATTCTTCATGGGAACAAAAAATTTTTGAGGTTTTTATTAGTCCAAAATTTCTGAGTTCCCAGTCTGTATGATTTTTAGGTCCCCATTGTATTCCATTTCCTCCCACACCACTACTTATTAAATGCAGGTTTTATTTTGGCAGTTGATTGGCCCCACCTGCTGGTATTCTGTGTGTTCTGGTTTTGGGGAACTTGCATATGCTTTTGTGTGTCTGTGTGTCTCTATGTGTTTGTATGTATATACATATGTTTTTATAGTTTTTCTTTCTATTTTATAAGATAATTTGGAGACACTAAACTACATCCTGATGTTTTTACCACTTGGCTCCCAACCCTTCCTTTATTCTTTTTTTTTTTTTTTTTTTTTTTTTTGAGATGGAGTCTTGCTCTGATGCCCAGGCTGGAGTGCAGTGGTGCAATCTCGGCTCATTGCAAGCTTTGCCTCCTGGGTTCACGCCATTCTCCTGCCTCAGCCTCCCGAGTAGCTGGGACCACAAGTGCCCACCACCATGCCTGGTTAATTTTTTGTATTTTTAGTAGAGATGGGGTTTCACCACGTTAGCCAGGATGGTCTCGATCTCCTGAACTTGTGATCTGATTCCACTCTAGGTAAAATTACACCTTAACATGGTTGTTGTCCTAATATTTTCTTTCTTTCTGATCCTTCATATTACTGACTTTCCCTCAATTTTTAGCCTATAAATATAAGCAATTTTCAAAGCTTTCTCTAAGATACCTCTTTTAACTTGATAACTTCTTTCTAAATGATCTGTCTGTGGTTTTAATTGTTACTCATATACTGATGGCTTGTACATTTTATATCGCTTGTTCTCTGAGATCTGGAACTATATAACTCATTCTGTGTTAACAGCTCCAGTGAATTACTTAAAATACCCCAGATACAATGTATATAAAACGTCGTCAAGATTTACCCTCACTATTCTCGTTTCCTAAATTAATGACCTCTTAAAATATTTGTTAATAAGTTATAATATATGAAAACCTATGGATAATTCTTGGCATCTCCCTTTATCTAAATCATTATAAACCACTATAGATTATTATGAAAATTACCACCTCCCAAATATTATTATTGTTTTTCCCTTTGATTTATTTTACATTGATTTTATGAGATATTTTTTATTACCCATACTGAATAAATTGATTAAAATGTATGTGTGTGTGTTTATGTGTGTGTGTGTGCATGTGTGTAAAATGAAATTCAAATCCCTGTATCATGATTGCATGATCAGGTGCTTTCCTTCATTTCTTATATTAACCCCTGGGTTTCTTCCCCTGACTCAAAGTTATTCGGCCTGATGGTATTTCACTTTATTTTCACTATGTCTAGAATATTCCTATTTACAGTGCCAGCCTTTCTACTTTTTAAAAACATTTTACCTACTGCAATCTCCTTATTCCAGGTCTATTAAGCTTTTCAAGCTTCTTGCTAGCCAATAACCGTTTTACTTGCTGGGCTTGAAAAATTTTTCAACAGCTCCAATAAACTTTAGTAAACCCAAGTATACAATCATCAACATCTGCTCTCTATATATACTATAATGTTGAATGCAATACTATTAAACATGGTTTCTACAAAATCCCATAGTCAAACTTGTAAAGTCTTAAATAAGCACATATATATTTAATAACATTCTTACTCAAGTTACAATGCAAAAATCACACATCAAGGAATAATGCCTACATTTTCCAAGAGAAGACATATATTTGATTAAAAAAAAAAACCTTACATTGCCTTAGAATTCATTACGCATGTAGCTCCTGGACAGTTACAGTTGTAGATGTCATCATATGTCAATCCCAGATTAATTCCAAGCAACTGTGTCATAACAACTGAAAATCCCTCTAAAGTTACTGTCTTTGAATACTAAAAAAAGAAACAAAGAAAAACATCAAAATTGACTTACCTCATTGATCTTGTCAAGCAATTCTGGCCATACTACCATATGCAAATACAAATTTAAGAAACTGGTATACCAAAGCTAATTACTTTCTTAGAAATAAAAAACAAAAATATGTTAATTTTTTGAATAGTAGCATTTTTAATCTAAATAGTATTGTCATAATAAAATAAGATTAATGCCACAATATGTTTTATGACACTTGAAATTAAATTCTAATAAATTTGAAAAACGTTTTGAAAAGTAGAAGCATATTTTTATGACTATATTAATTTTCAAGTGAACACTTGGAAAATATACACAGATTTTGAAGGTTTGGATTGTCAATAAGTTTTGACTTCAGAAACAGTTTTAGGATAGTCAAATTACTTTTTATTACTTTTTTTCTAAAAACATAATAGTATATCTTGTTAGTAGCATTTATTTGGTCTAAAAAAGTAAAATGTTAGAGGGAACTAGGTCAGTAAGACATAAATCCCTGGAAACCAGTGGGTTTTCCATAGTTTTACATTTTCTAAAATGTGACATAGTTGGAATAGTACAATATGTAATCTTTTCAGATGGCTTAACTTAACAGTAGCATTTAAACGTCTGTCATATCTTTTTGTGACCTAATGTCTCACTTTTTAAATCACCAAATAATGCCCCATTATGTCTATGTAACTAACAGTATGTATTCATTTGCCTATCAAAGGGCATATTGCTTACTTCCAATTTGTGTTAATTATTAATAAGGCTGCAATAAATATTCATGTGTATGTTTTTGTGTGGATATGATTTCAACTCATTTGGATATATATTTGCTGAGCATGAAAATTTCTCAACAGCTCATGTGCATGAACATTCATGTGCATGTTTTTGTGTGAATATGTTTTCAACTCATTTGGATATGTACCAAGGACAATTGTTGGATCATCCAGGAAGAGTAAGTTGAGAAACTGTCAAACTGTCCAACGTGACTGTATCATTTTGCATTCCCATCAACAATACATTTGGTGTGGTTTGCATTTTGAACTGCAAACATGATGGCTCATAGCTACATTCTTGCCTTGTTCTTTATCTTCGTAATAAATCATTTTGTTTCTTACCATTAAGTCTAATATTAGCTGTATTTTTGTAGATATTCTTTCTCAAATTCAGAAAGTTTTCTTATATTCTTAGTTTTCTAAAAAGTTTTATCATAATTTGGCTTAAATTCGGTAAAAATTTTTCTCCTTCTATTGATAAAATCATGTCTTTTCTTCTTTAGCCTATTGACAAGACATGTTACATTAATTGATTTACAAATGATGAACCAGCTTTACAACCTAGAAGAAATTGTATATATATATATCAACAAGAAAATAGAAATTTTAAAAATAAACCACCAGGATTCCATGCTTAAACATAATAAATAAACTGAAACATTTATTAAATAGGCTAAAAGCACACTTGATCAGGTAAAAGAATCAGTGAACTTGAAGACAGGTTATTTAAAATAACTGAGTCATGGAAGTAGAAAAAATGAGAAAATGAAGATTGTCTATCATCTTATGAAACCTTACCAATGGGTGTTTCAAAAGGAAAAGAGAAAGAAGGGGAAACTTAATTTGAAGAAGAGGAAGAAAATGGACATCGATTTTCAAGATTAACAACTTTAGGAAAAGCTCAAAGAGGTATTCATGGAGACACATTATAATCAACCTGTCAAAAGTGAAAGGCAGGCCGGGCGCGGTGGCTCACGCCTGTAATCCCAGCACTTTGGGAGGCCGAGGCGGGTGGATCATGAGGTCAGGAGATCGAGACCATCCTGGCTAACAAGGTGAAACCCCATCTCTACTAAAAATACAAAAAATTAGCCGGGTGTGGTGGCGGGTGCCTGTAGTCCCAGCTACTCGGGAGGCTGAGGCAGGAGAATGGCGTGAACCTGGGAAGCAGAGCTTGCAGTGAGCCGAGATTGCGCCACTGCAGTCCGCAGTCCGGCCTGGGCGACAGAGCGAGACTCCGTCTCAAAAAAAAAAAAAAAAAAAAAAAAAGTGAAAGGCAAAGAAAGAATCATACAAGCAGCAAGAGAAAATTGACTAATTACAAAGGATGGGAATAAGAGAGGAAGAAACAAAGGATCTACAATAAATCAGAAAACCATTTGCAAAGTGGCAGTAATAAGTTCTTACCTGTCAATATTTGAAATATAAATGGATTAAATTTTTTAACAAAAGACATAAAATGGACAAATGTATTACAAACCAGACCTCACTATATGCTGCCTACAAGAGACTTACTTCATTTATAAGGACACACACTGGCTGAAAGTGAAGGGATGGAAAAATATACCCCATGAAAATGGTAAACAAAAGACAGCAGACATGGCCGTACTTGTATCATTAAAATATAGATTTCAAGTCAAAAACTGTCACTAGATACAAAGGATATCATTATGTAATAAAAAGATCAATACCTCAAGAGGACATAATAATTATAAACATATAAACACTTAACACTGAAACAACTGAAAGTATAAAGTAAGAATTAATGCAATGAAGGGAGAGATAAATAACAATACAATAATAGTAAGGACAATTAAATATCCCATTTTTAAGAATGAATAGGACATTCAGGCAGAAAAGTAATGAAGAAATATTTGATTTGAACAGCACTTTAGAACAAATAGACCTAACAGAAATACATAGAACATTCTGTTCAACAGTAGCAGAATACGCATTATTTTCTAGCTCACATGGCACATTCTCCAGTACAGACCATATGTTAGGTTACAAAACAAATTTTAACAAATATAAAAAGATTCTAATCATATCAAGTATTATTCCTATCCATAACAGTATAAAAGTACAGTTTGTCAAAAGTAGGAATCATTAAAAATACACAAATATGTGAAAATTAAATGAAAGCTAATGGGACAAAGAATAAATTAAAAGGAAAACTAACAATTATCTTGAGAAAAATGACAAAAAACCCCAAAATACCAAAACATGGGAGATGTAGTAAAAGCAGATTTAACATGCAAATTTATAGCAACAACTCTCTGCATTAAAAAAGGAAAGATCTCAAATAAATAGCATAACATTATGACTCAGGAAACTAGAAAAAAGAACAAACAAAACCCAAGTTTAGTATAAAAAAGGAAATAATAAAGATCAGAACAGAAATATTCACATGCAGAACTTAAAAACATTAAAAAAATCAACAAACAAATAGCTGAAATATTAGTGGAGACAGTACAAAGGATGTCTCTGAACTACAAAAGTACTCTAAGGAGCTATTATAAAAATTGTATGCCAAAAAACTGGATAACCCAGAAGAAATGAATGAATTCCTAGAAAAATACAACCTACTAAGATTGAATCATAAATAAATAGAAAGCCTTACTTGATCAATAACAAATAGATTAAAATGGTAATTTAAAACCTCCCAGAAAAGAAAGCTCAAGGCTGGATGGCTTTATGGCAGAATTCTGCCAACCATTCAAAGAAGAATTAATGCACTTCGATTTTAAACTTTTCCAAAAAATACAACTGGAGGGAATATTTACAAACACATTCCAAATCCAAGCAAAAATGCCACAGGAAAACAAAGCTAAAGACCAATATGTCTGATGAACACTGATGCAAAAAGCCATGATAAATTATTAGGAAACTGAATTCAACAACAGATAAAAGGAATTCTACACGATGTCCAAGAGGCACATATCTCTGACATGAAAAGCTAGTTTAACGTATACAAATCAATGTTATACATCACATTTACAGAACAAAAGATAAAATCACATTATTATCTCAACAGATGCAGGAAGAGAATTTGACAAAATGCCATGCCCTTTCTTGATAAAAACTCTCAACAGTTTAAGTAGGAAGCTGGTAACCGTGCATGGGGTTGCTGCATGCCAGCATGTATTTCAGCCCTGGATGACTCCTAAGGAAGGGGTGGGTCTGAGCTGTGGAAGCTGACAGACCTTGAGAGGGCAAAGCTGTCTTTGCCAGGGCACAGGAGCAAGTCTGATCTGCTCACATCACTGTCCACCAACCCTTCCCAGAGTTCCTGCCTGGCCATGACTGCATGCAGTGCAGCCACAGAAATCCTATCAGAATGCTTTTCCAGGTGGCCACTGCCATAGTGCTTTCATCAGCACAATGGGACAGCCACTGGAGCTTTTTGGCTGACAGCTTTCTGCTGGAATGTGATTGCATGCAATGCCACTGCCACCTCTTCAAAGCGCATTAGGCCACAGCACTCCAGGTGACCCACCAAAGTGCCTCCCACCTGCAATGCCCCCCACCTCCACTGAAGCATCACTCATCTGTGGTGCCCCTGCTAGAGCACCTCCTGCCTGCAGTGCTCCCACTTCCCTTCACCAGAGAACCTCCAGCCTGAAGCAACCCTGTCACTTCCTCCAGAGCACTAATGCCTGCGGCCCCCATGCAGTACCCTAAACAATATTGTTACCAGTGGTATGGAAGCAGTCTGGTTTCTCCAGCCCAGCTGGTGCTTGACCTTGAGAAACCAGAGGACAAAGCTGTGGACCCAGTCCCAGCCACCCAGAGTTAGATCATGCAGCCCAGAATTGTGGAGTTGAGCCATGGACCTCTGAAAGCATCCAGAAATGAAGCCATTCAATTACATCCAACTTGTACCACAGTCTAATTTTCAATGGCATTATAGATCATAAGAACAAAAAGTGCCATCCAAAGGACAGTTACCTCACAGGATAAAGGATCATCAGCCCTCATAGATTAGAAAGATCCAGCGAAAGAACTGGCAATCTTAAATGCCAGAGTGTTTTCTCTTAACCAAACTGAAATGGCTGAAATGTCAGACTCAGAATCTGAATGACAAGGAAGCTCAAGAAAAAGTTGAAATCCAATCCAAAAGAAAACAGCAAAATGATTTAAAAGTTGAAAGACTGGAAATAAAAAATTTACTATAGAAATTTCAAAATACAATTGGAAGAATTAACAACAGAATAAACCAAGATGAGGAAAGAATCTCAGAGCTTGAAGACAATTCCTTTAAAGTAACACAGGCAGATAAAAATGAAGAATGAAGAATATTAATAAATGAATAAAACCTCTGTGAAATATGGGATTATGTCAAGATACCAAATGTATGATTTGATAGCGTTCCTGAAAGAGGTGAGAGAAAAGCAACTTAGAACTCATATTTAAGAATATAGTTCACAAATTTTTCCCAAATCTCATTAGATAAGTTGACATGCAAATTCAAGAAATTCAGAGAACCCCTGTGACATATTATGCAAGATGACCATCCCCAAGACACATAGTCATTAGATTCTGCAAGGTCAACATGAAAGAAAATATCTTAAATGCAGCTAGAAAAGGACCAGGTCACTTACAAAGGGAAGACCATCAGGCCAACCACGGATGTTTCAGCAGAAATTTACAAGCCACAAGAGACTGGGGACCTATTTTCAATACCTTTAAAGAAAATAAATTCCAACCAAGAATTTCATATTCCACCAAACTAAGCTTGATACGTGAAGGAGAAGTGAAATTCTTCTCAGACAAGCAAATGCTAAGGAAATTTGTTACCACTAGACCTGCTTTACAAGAGATCCTGAAGGGAGTGCTAAAAATGGAAAAGAAAGAACAATACCTGCCACCACAGAAATATACTTAAGCATGTACTACATTGACACTGTAAAGCAGCTATACAATCAAGTCTACATAACAAGACAATGATAGAACCAAATCCTCAATATCAATATTGAGCCTGAATGTAAATGGGCTAAATGCTCCACTTAAAGAACATAGAGTGGCAAGTTAGATAAAAAAGGAGGCTGCAACTGTCTGCTGACTTCAAGAGACCTATCTCATAAGTAATAATACGCATAGGCTCAAAGTAAAGGGATGGAGAAAGATCTACCAGGCAAATGGAAAACAAGAAAAGCGGGAGTTGCTACTCTTATATCAGATAAAGCAGACTTCTTTAAAACAATATAATCACAAAGGACAAAAAATGGCATTACATAATGATAAAATAGCTCAATCCATAAAGAAAACTTAACTATCCTAAATATATACAAACCCAAAACTAGACTATCCAGATCCATAAAACAAGTTCTTAGAGAACTATGAAGGGATCTAGACAATGACATAGTATTACTGTGGGACTTCAGCATTAGACAGGTCATCAAGGAAGAAAACTAAAAAAGATATTCTGGACTTAAACTTGACAGTTGGCCAACTGGACTTAATAGATATCTACAGAACACTCCACCACAAACAACAGAATATAGATTCTTATTATCTGTACATGGCACATACACTAAGATCAACTATATGCTCAACCATAAAACAAGTCTCAACAAACTAAGAAAAATAATAATTCATATCAACCACGCTCTTGAGCCACAGCAAAATAAACATAGAAATTAATATCAAAAAGATCTATTACAACTATACAATTACATGGAAGTTAAACAATCTGCTCCTGAACGACTTTTGTGTAAACAGTGAAATTAATCAGAAATCAAAAAATTCTTTGAAACTAATGAAAATAGAGACACAACATATCTGAATCTTTGGGACACAGCTAAAGCACATGAGCAGAATGTTTATAGCACTAAACACCTAACCTACATCAAGAAGTTAGAAAGTTCTCAAATTAACAGCCTAACATTGTACCCAGAGAAACTTGAGAAACAAGAGCATACCAACTGCAAAGCTAGCAGCAGAAAATAAATAAGCAAAATCAGACCTGAACTGAATGAAATTGAGTTGGAAAAATCCATAAAAAAAAACAAAAGAAAAAGTTGGTTCTTCAAAAATTAAACAAGATTGATAGACTGCTACCGATATTAATTAAGAACAAAAGAGAGAGGATCCAAATAAGCACAATCAGAAATGACAAAGGTGACATTACAACCCAAACCACAGAAATACAAAAAAATCCTCAAACATTACTACAAACATTTCTATACAGACAAACTAGAAAACCTACATTAAATACTTTCCTGGAAACACACAGTCACTCAAAATTGAACCAGGAAGATATTAAAATCTTGAACAGACCAATAATGCATTTCAAAATTGAATCAGTAATAAAAAGTTACTGTCAGAGGTCTTCACAGCAGCCCCTCCCATCACAAACTAGGAGGCCTAGGAAGAAAAAAATGGTTTTGTGGGCCAGGCCCAGAGCCTTGCTGCTTTGTGCAGTCTCAGGACTTGGTGCCCTGCGTCCCAGCCACTCCAGCAAAGGCTAACAGGGGCCAACACAGGGTTCAGGCCACTGCTTCAGAGCGGGCAAGCCCCAAGCCTTGGTGGTTTACATGTGGTATTGGGCTTGTGAGTACACAGAAGTCAAGAATTGAGGTTAGGGAACCTCTGCCTAGATTTCACAGGATGTATGGAAATGCCTGAATGTCCAGGCAGAGGTGTGCTGCAGGGGCAGAGCTCTTATGGAGAACCTCTACTAGGGCAATGTGAAAGGAAAATGTGGGGTGTGAGCCCCTACACAGAGTCCCACCTTGGGCACTACCTAGTGGAGCTTTGAGAAGAGAGCCACCATCCTCCAGACCCCAGAATGGCAGATCCACTGACAGCTTACACCATGCACCTAGAAAAGTGGCAGACACTCAACACCAGCCTGTGAAAGCAGCCAAGATGGGGGCTGTACCCTGCAAAGCCACAGGGGTGGAGCTGCTCAAGACCATGGGAACTCACCTCGTGCATCACCATGACCTCGATGTGAGATATGGATTCAAAGGAGATCATTTTGGAGCTTTAAGATTTGACTGCCCTGCTGGATTTCAGACTTGCATGGGGCTTGTACCCCTTCATTTTGGCCAATTTCTCCCATTTGGAATGGTTGTATTTACCCAATGCCTGTACCCCCACTGTATCTAGGAAATAACTAACTTGCTTTTTACATTTATTTTTTATTTATCCATAGGTTATTGAGGTACAGGTGGTATGTGGTTACATGAGTAATTTCTTTACTGTTGCTTTGTAAGATTTTGGTGCACTCATCACCCTGTATGTATACTCATCACACTATACATTGCACCCTATTTGTAGTCTTTTATCTCTCAGTCCCCTCCCATTCTTCCCCCCAAGTCTTAAAGTCCATTGCATTATTCTCATGCCTTTGCATCCTCATAAGCTTAGCTCCCACATATCAGTGAGAACATACAATGTTTGGTTTTCCATTCCAGAGTTAGGAAGTAACTAACTTGCTTTTGATTTTACAGGCTCATAGGTTGAAGGGACTTGTCTTGTCTCAGATGAGTTTGGACTGTGGAATTTTGAGTTAATGCTGAAATGAGTTAAGACTTTGGGGGACTGTTGGGAAGACATGATGGGTTTAGAAATATGAGGATATGAGATTTGGGAGGGACCAGGGTGGAACGATATGGTTTAGCTATGTTCCCACCCAAATCTCATCTTGAATTGTAGCTCCCATAATTCCCACATGTTGTGGGAGGGACGTGGTAGGAGGTAATTGAATTATGGGGGGCAGGTCTTTCTCATGCAGTTCCCATGATAGTGAGTAAGTCTCACAAGATCTGTTGGTTTTATAAAGGGAAATTCCCCTACACACTTTCTCTTGCTTACTGCCATGTAAGACATGACTTTGCTCCTAATTTGTCTTCTGCCATAATTGTGAGACCTCCCCAGCCATATGGAACTGTGAGTCAATTAAAGCTTTTTCCTCTACAAATTACCCAGTCTCAGAGTCTCAGGTATGTTTTTATTAGCAGCATGAGAACAGACTAATACACGTCCCAACCAAAAAAAGCCCTGGACAAGACGCATTCACAGCCTAATGTTACCAACCATACAAAGAAGAGCAAGTACCAATCTGACTGAAATTATTCCAATAAATCAAGGAAAAAGGAATCCTCTCTAACTCATTCTGTGAAGCCAGCATCATTCTAATACTAAAGCCTGGTAGAGACAAAACAAAAAGAGGAAACTTCAGGGCAATAACCCCAATGAACATAGACACAAAAATCCTCAAGAAAATACTAGCAAACTAAATCCAGGAGCACATCAGAAGGTTAATTAACCACAATCATACAGCCTTTACTCCTGGAAAGCAAAGTTAGTTCCACATACATGAATCAATAAATGTAATTCATCACATAAGACTAACAACAAAAACCACATGATCATCTCAATAGATGCAGAAAATCCCTCCATAAAATCCAGAATTCCCTCACGATAAAGACCTTCTACAGGCTAGACATTGAGTAAATATAGTTCAAAATAATAAAAGCCATCTATGGGAAAACCACTGCCAACATCATAATGAATGAACAAAAGCTAGAAGCATTGACAACTGGAACAATAAAAGGATGCCCACTCTCACCACTCCTATCCAACACAATATTGGAAGTACTAGCCAAAGCAATCAGGCCAGAGGAGGAAATAAAAGGCATCCAAATAGAAAGAAGGAAAGTCAAACTATCTCTCTTCACAGAAGATATGATTCCGTACCTAGAAAACACCATAGACTCCACCAGAAGATTTCTAGAACTAATAACTTCAGTGAACCTTTGGGATACAAAATAAATGTACAAAAGCCAGTAGTATTGGTATACACCAATGATATTCTAGCTAAGAGCAAAATCAAAAACTCAGTCCCATTTAAAATAACAAAGAATAAAATTCCTAGGAATACAGTTCACCAAAGTAAAAGATATCTACAATGAGAATTACAAAACACTGCTGAAAAAAAATCATAGATGACGCAAACAAATGGAAAATATTCCATACTCTTGGATAAGAAGAATCAATATTGTTAAAATAGCCATACTCCCCAAAGAAATTTACAGATTCAATGCTATTATTAAACTACTAACACCATTCTTCCCAGAATTAGGAAAAACTATTCTAAAATTCATATGCAACCAAAAAAGATCATTAATAGCCAAAGTAAGCCTAAGCAAAATCAACTAAGCTGGAGGCCTCATACTATACTGACTTCAAACTATAGTGCAAGACTACAGTAACCAAAACTGCATGATACTGATACAAAAAAAGGACACATACACCAAAGAAAGAGGACAGAGAACTGAGAAAAAAATCCACAAACCTACAGCCACTTGATCTTCAACAAAGTAGACAATGACAAATAACGAGACAGGACTCCCTACTTAATATGGTGCTTGGATAACTGGCTAGCCATATGCAAATAATTTAAACCATATATCTTCCTTTCACAATATACAAAAACTAACTCAAGACGGATCACGTTTAAATGTAAAACCTAAAACAATAAAAACTTTAGAAGAAAACTCAGGAAATATCATTCTGAACATTAGCCTTGGTAAACATTTTATGACTAAATCCCCAAAAGGAATTCACAACAAAACACAAATTGACAAGTTGGACCTAATTAAACCAAAGAGTTCCTGCACAGCAAAAGAAACTAACAGATTAAGTAGACTGCCTACAGAATGGAAAAAATGTTCACAAACTGCCTCCAACAAAGATTTAATATTCAGAATCTATAAGGAACTTAAACAAATGAACAAGCAAAAATAAATAACCACATTAAAAATTGGGCAAAGGACATTAACACACTTCTCAAAAGAAGAAATATGCACAGCCTAAAAGCATATGAAAAAATGCTCAACATCACCAATCATCAGAGAAATACATATCAAAACCACAATGAGATACCATTTTATACCAGTAGAATAGCCATTATTAAAAACTAAAAAAACCACAGATGCTGGCAAGGCTGTGGAGAAAAGGGAACCCTTATATGCTGCTGCTTGGGATTTAATTTAGCTCAGACACTGTGGAAAGCACTGTGGAGTTTTCTCATAGAACTTAGAACTACCATTCAACCCAGCAATCTCACTATTTGGTATATACCCGAAGGAAAATAAATCATTCTACCCAAAAGACACATGCACCCATATGTTCATCGCAGGACTATTTACAGTAGCAAAGACATGGAATCAACCAAGGTGTCCATCAATAGTGGATTGGATAAAGAAAATGTGGTACATATTCACCATGAAATACTACATAGCCATAAAAAATGAAATAATGTCTTTTACAGCACCATGGATACAGCTGGAAGACATTGTCATAAATGGACCAATGTAGGAACAGAAAAACAAATATGCACATTTTCCCTTAGAAGTGGGAGCTGAACATTGAATGCACATGGACACAAACATGGGAAAGACAGACTCTGGGAAATGCTTGAGGAGGAAGGGTGGGAAGGGCCTGTGGGTTGTAAGGCTACATATTGGGTACTGTAGTCACAGTTTGGTGATAGGCCAATTTGTACATCAAGTCTAAGTTACATGCAACTTACCCATGCAGCAAACCCACACATGTACCCCCTGAACCTAAAGTAAAAGTAGAAACAAGAATTTTCCAGATAAAGCAAAGTTGAGGGAGTTCATTGACAGCTAACCTTATGTGTGAGAAATGTTAGAGAAAGGAGGCTTTTAAGTTGGAAAACAAAAGAAAACAGAGAGCAACACAAAGCCATATAAAAATTATAAAGTTCTCTGATAAAGGTAAAAGTGTGATAAAATTGTCATAATTTTGGGACACAAATTTACTTTTAATTCTTTCATAGAATTTAAAAGACAAAAAATTCTCCTGGACATCTATATAATGGGTACACAACATGTCAAGATATAATGTGTTATATCAATAACATAAAATGGAAGTGAATCTATAAATAATAGAGGTTTGCATTTGACTGAAGTTACAAGTTTAAAATTGACTGTTATGACATTAAGATACTTCATCTAATTGTAATGATAACCACAAAGAGAGAATGTCTAGAGATTATATACAGAAGAAAATGAGAAGGAATTGAAATCATATAACACACAACAATCAATAAAACACAGAGGGAGGCACTAATAGAGAACCAAAAATCTACAAGGTATAAAGAAAGCAATAAAATAGCAGTGATAGGTTCTTTCCTATCAGTAATACATTTAAATGTAAATGGAATAAACTCTCATTACAAAAACAGATTAGCTGATCAGATGAAAAACAAGATCCAAGTATATGTTCTCTACAGGAGAATCACTTTAGATACAAGGACACACATTAGCCTAAAGGGAAAGGATTGTAAAACATATTTCATGCATATAGTAGCCAGAGAAGAGTCAAAATAGCTATATTAATATCAGACAAAATATACTGTAAACCAAAACTGTTACAAGAGACTAAAAAGGACACTAGTTACAGACGAAAGTGTCAGTTCACCAAGAAGATATAACAATTATAAGTACTTATACATCAAATATCAGAGCTTCTAAATATAGGAAGCAATTGTTTTTAAATAATTGAAGGAAACAATGGCAGCACAATAGTAGTTGGATACTTCAATACTCCACTTTCAACAATAGACAGAATAACTAGATAGAAGACGAGTAAGTAAATAATGAACTTGTACAACAGTATAAACCAATTAGACCTTACAGATATTTACAGAACATTGCACTCAACATTAGAATGCATGTTCTTGTCAAGAGCAATTGAACATTTACAGCACAGCATGTCTGTTAGACAATGAAACAAGTCTCAACAATTTTAAAAATATTCAAATTATGCAAAATATATTTTACAGTTTCAATGAAAAGAAACTAAAAATCAATGAGAGATGGAAAACTTGTATATCCAGAAATACATAGAAATCAAACAAGACAATCTTATATGATTGGCGAGTCAAAGAAATCACAAGGAAAAGTAGAAAATACTCTCTCAAATTAAAATGAAAACACAGTATACCAAAAGTTATGGGGTCCAGTGAAAACATTACTAGAAGGGAAGTTAATACCTCTAAACACACACGTTACAAAAGAAGAAAGATCTAAAATCGATAATCTAATGTTACATTTCAAGGAACTAATAAAATAAAATTAAATTAAACCCAAGCAAGCAGAAGAAAGAAATAGTAAAGATTAAAGCAGGGACAAATATAATAAAACTAGAAAACAAATAGAAAAAAATCAAGAAACAAAGATTTTGTTTTTTTGAAAAGATCAACAAAATTGGCAAACCCTTAGCTAGATTAAGAAACAAGAGAAAATACTCAAATAATTAAAATATGAAATGAAATAGGAGGTATTACAACTGATGCCACAGAAATAAAAACATTTTACAAGACAATTCTAGGAACAACTATATGCCAAAAAAGTGGATAAACTAGAGGAAATGTAGAAATTACTACACACACACAAACTATCAAGATTGCCTCGTGAAGAAATAGAAAATCTGAAAGACACAGAACTAGTAAAAAAATAGACATAGTATTCCAAAATCTGAATAAAGAAAATCCCAGGATAAGATTTCTACAGTGGAGATTTCTACGAAACATGTAAAGAAGATTTAACATCAATTCTTTTCAAACTCTTTCAAAGAATTAAGAAAAGGAAATACGTCTCAACTCATTCTATGAGGCCAGCATTACCTTAATAGCAATGCCAGACAAAGGCTCAACAAGAAAAGAAAACTAGAGCCCAATATCCCCATTACCCACTGATGCATAACTCCCCAACAAAATAATACGAAATTGAAGTCAGTAGCACGTTAAAGGGATTAAGCATCATGACCAAGTGGGATTCAATCCTGGAATGCGATGATGGCTCAACATATACAAATAAAACAATTTGATACACTATTTTAGCATAATGAAGGACAAAAACCTAGTGATCATCTCAATTGTTGTAGAAAATACATTTCATAAGATTTCACACACTTTTGTAATAAAAATATTAAATGAACTAGGAATAAAAGTGTGGTGTATAAGATGTGAACAATTACGTACTATTGATGGGATTATAAAATGGTGCTACTGCTATGGAATTAGTATGGTGATTTCCCCAAAAATTAATGATATAACTATTATATGATCCGTCAATCCCACTCTTGGGTGTATATCCAAAAGAATTAAAATCAGGATTTTAAAGAGCTATCTGTACTCCTATGTTTTCAGCATTATTCAAAATAGCCAAATTATGAAACAACCTAAGTGTCCATTGACATGTGAATGAATAAAATCACAAGTACACACATACACAAACAATGTACTATTATTCAGCCTTAAAAAGGAATGAAATCTTGTCACACACTACAACATGAACAAACCGTAAGGACATTATGTTAAGTGAAATAAGTCAGTTGCAAAAAGAAAAATACTACATAATTCTACTTATATAAATAATCTAAAGTTGTCACATTTGTAGAAATAGAAAGTAAACTGGTTGTTATCAGAGATTGGGGGCAGGGGTAAAATGAGGGTTGTATAACAGGTTTAGAGTTTCAATTTTGCAAGATAATTTCCGCAAAATTAATTATTGCTGTCATCATAACTGGCTGGATAAAATTCTAAAATCTAAAAGTCAGGGTTATTTACTGCCATGATTTTCATATAGTAAACCAATACTAAACGTTGTAAGGAATGTTAAAGGTGAGAGAGAGAGATAGAACATGCAGTACATTCATTACAAAAAAGAGAGAGATGATGTAGTACGATATCCTCACACATTTTAGTCATTTGTTAATTTTGCTTCTGAATTCCTAAACCTTATTTCTGCTTCCACAGTAGACATCACAGATTTGCAAATTTATTACGTATTGCTTAAGATCTTTAGGATTGTGTTTTTGGCCCCAAATAATCAAATTAGTAAAATTAAAAAAAAAATCCACGTAAAGACTCTTCAAAGATACACAGCAAGTGTTTTAACAGCTATACATTATATTATCATAGAAATGCCAGAAGAACCACAGGGATCATAAAGTAATCCATTTCAGTGATTTACTATTTTAATGTTTTGTGTTGTAGCCAGCATCATATGAAATTTTTGCATTTCATTATTTTTGCATATTTTGCATCCCATTGGTTTACATTTTAAATAATGATAAAATGATGGTTTTAACTATTTATCACTAAGAAGAGCTTTACAATTATTAAGGCACAATGTTTATCCAAAAGCTTTACATTTTTCAGCTCATTACATTTCCATAAGTAAATGGTCCACTTTAAGAACAATGTCCTACTATGATTTAATTAGTGCATTATATGGTTATCAGATTTTTATATTCTGCATTTTGGTAATGCAGTATTAATAAATCTTTTTAAGGTGTCTTAGCATTATACATATAATAAATTTTGTGTATAATTTTGATAGTGAACATATTAAATATTTGAAAACCCTCCTATCAGTGTGAATAAATTGCTTACATTAATAAATATGCCACGATATTGGACTTTTGAGACATAAATTTTTGTTTCCATGATAAAAACCTTTGTAGTACATCATCAGCAACCCCATTAGTTGAAATCTTATTTTCATCTGACCAGAGCTCCAAAGAAGATAGCGTAATACTTGTTTTAAGCTGAGAAAACATCTGAAAACAGAAGCTATATGATATACAGTTTTGGGTGACCATAAATATAACATTACATCTCCATACATAATGCTAATATATTCAATTTACTATTTTTTGGAGAAGAATCCATTGGTGGATGAAACTAGTTAGCACAACTGTAGTTTTTATAAAAATGAAAATGCTATTTATATAAACAGTGCTACTGCATTAAAATAAATGTTTGTTATTAAATACTGAAGATAAATACTTACAGTGTTGATAAGACCAAAGATATGGACAACTTTCTCAGCTGCAGCTGTCACATCAGAGCCCATATAAGCATACTGAAAGACAAATTTTCTTTCTTAATCCCTAGTGAAAATGACTGAACTATCACATTGTAAATGTATTTAAATATAAAATGTTAGAATAATGCAGTGCTAAAGTGAAGAGACAAAAACAAAATTAACTGCTAAGTTTGAGGCATAACCCTAGAGACTTTATACATTAATTAATGATATTAAAATGAGATAGTTGTGATTATCTTCCTTACATATATGTATATATGAAAAGTCAAAAAGTGAAGTTTCCAATGTTGCAGGATATTTTTAAGGAATCAGAGAGACAGATGGGGTTCAGAAGGATATTTATTAATTATTTAGGTGCACCGGCCCAGTCAGGTTAACATCCAAAGGACCGAGCCCTGAACAACAAGTTGTTACCTTTTAAGCATTTCATGGGGGCGGGGGCAGATCTGTGCAGGGGGAAGCATATTACAGAAGCGAGAAACAAAGACAGTTATTTAATTAATCGTGACATGCATTACATCATTTCTTACTTTTCAAGGAAAAACATGTTTTGCGACTTGAGTTTATCTGTCTAGTGACCTTGCAGCTGCACAGCTAGGGAATCAGGGTTTTCACAATGCCTGGGAAAGGAGGAGAGATAAGGCTCACTGGCCGCAGTAAAACAGGCAGTTAATTTTTAAAGGACTCCAACTCTTTCTCTTTCTTAGGGGGAATTGGGTTTTCTTACATACAACTGAGTTTCTGCTTACACACTCCTTAATTTTTCTTAATTCCTGTTCCACAAGAGCACATATTCATCAAAGATCAGAACCAGGCCTCAGACTTTTTACTCAACTACTAAGCCTATTTTGTCTACTGTTGTATACTTCCATCATTCATTTTCATTCCAATAAAACAACATGACTATATATCCTGGATAAACAATGTGCCTTCTAAACACACTGCCCTGAGTACTGCAATGGTTATTAATTTCAATAATATATCCTCATTCAAGAGAAAAATTACAGTATTTTCTCTGAAACATTGTAGCAAATAGTGTACACACACATTTCTGTTTGCTGAAAACACAAAAATTCATAGCTTGGGATCTTCAATAGTCTCCAGCAAGTCTGCAGAAGACTCCTGACAGAAAAAAATAATGAAATAGAATTTTCCTCTCTGATATAGACAAAAGAGATGTTATCTTCCTAACTTGGAGTCCAGGCCTTTTAGAAACAGTTTTACATTTTCCTAGTTCTCTGTATGTAACCTTCCTCAATTAACCGTATTACACGTTTACACAATGTAGGATATGTGGTATGAGGGAAGGTGCTCCTTTACAAGGCTAAACATATGAAAAGCAAGACAGCAGAAAACAAAAGCATGATAGTGGAAGTGAATCCAAATAACCACAAGATATCAACAGATCAAATACTAAAGGACAAAGAGGGTAAAGAAAACCCTGTATAAACAAATTTAAAACCCTGAAAACATAAGGACACAGAAATACTAAGAGCTAAAGGATGACAATATACCAGAAAAATACTAGAAAATAAGCATTTTATGTTATATGATAGTTATATTAGTTAACATAATAGTTACATTGATAGTTATATATTAATAGTTGTGTTTAATATATAACTATTATAGAGCTTAAAGGCAAAAAATGGACATGCTTATCACAACATATTGATAAAAATATTCAACTCATCAGAAAAACCTATTCTAAACTTACTTATACCTAATAATATGGCTATAAAATACATGAAAGAAACTAATAAAATAATAAATAGGAATTGACTATTAGAGTGAGATATTGCTATGCATTTATCTCAATAACTAATAGATCAGGCAGATGAATTAACGGTAACAATACACAAGATTTTAAAACCCAAGCAAATGGCGGATATCATACACATATATGTAAGCTTCAGAGATTATATATATTTTTCAAACATATATGAAAGTCTTATTTAAACTGATCCATGTTAGACCATAAAACAGCTTCTTTAAATATAATACATCGTATCACTTATATTATCCAACTACAGAGCAATGAAGTGATAGAAGATAAAAGTATGTGGCTATTCTTTCTGAGGCATATAACTCCACTGTGATTATAAAAGATAACGTTCTTGTTCTATGTAAATACACTCTGAAATATTTGAGAATAATGCTCCATGATGCAATATACAACTTGCTTTTACATGGAGAGAGCAAAGTGATAATAAGATACAAATTAACAAATCATATAGATAAAGAGAATAGAGGCATTCTTTGTATAATTCTCAATGTTGCAACTTTTCTGAAAGTTGATGTTATTTACAAGTAAAGTATTTAACAAGTAAAGATAATTTCAGACAAACAAAAGCTAAAGAGAATTCAACAGTCAAAAGATACATATCAGAAACACAGACCTATTAGAAGGAATTAAAAGCCTTGGAAATGGTAAATATGTGGAGAAACATAAAATATATTCTTTCTTTAATTTCTTTAAACAACAACTACTCAATTAAAAATTAATTTCTTGTGAATTTATGACACATAAGAATGAAAATATATTACAATGGGCCGGGCACAGTGACTCACGCCTGTAATCCCAGCACTTTGGGAGACCGAGGCAGGTGGATCACCTGAGGTCGGGAGTTCAAGACCAGTCTGACCAACTTGCAGAAACCCCATCTCTACTAAAAATACAAAATTAATCGGACATGGTGGTGCATGCTTGTAATCCTAGCTACTCAGGAGGCTGAGGCAGGAGAATTGCTTGAACCCCGGAGTCGGAGGTTGCAGTGTGCTGCGATTGTGCCATTGTACTCCAGCCTGGGCAACAAGAGCCAAACTCTGTCTCAAAAAAAAAAAAAAAAAAAAAAAAAAAAAAATATATATATATATATATATATATATATATATATATATATATATATATATAACAACAAAATAACAATAATAACAATGACTGATTTGGGTTAAATGAAGCTTTACTGTTTTATGGCTCTTACATCATATATGAGGTGGTAATTCTAGATAATGATAAGAGTGCTAATTGTAGCAACTAGAAAAACTGCTGGGATGAAGGTCTGGAAACAGAAGATAGCAAAAAAAAAAAAATCAGTATAAAAGATAAAAATAAGTACTAAAAATAAGCCAATAACCCACGGGTAGGAAACAAGGAACAAAGCAGCAAATAAGTGATTTGAAAAAAAGAACACTAATAGCAAAGTAGAACTTAACTTACATATATAGTTATCAGTACTTTTGATAAACATAAACCAACTAAAGGTTCTAATGAAAAGGCAGGGGTTATCTCACTAGATAGGGAGGGACAAAGACTGTCAATCAATATGCTGTTTCCCAGTGTTATACTTTAAAACTAAAGATAGATAAGTTTAAAATAAAAAGAGGGGAAATACTAATCATAGGATATTATTTCAAAAAAACTCTCTGGTTGTTTTTGAAGGATGGCTTTTTCATTAAAAATGGTTTCCATTGTTACTGGGATGGTAAGAAGGTATATGGCTAAGTGGGGACAGGAAAGTAGGCTGATGGATTTAATTTTAGCTGCGGCAAAGCACAATTTCAATGCTTGTGATCTTGTTTTTCTGCCAAAGAGTATTATTCCTCATGTAATAACAATAATAATAAAATCTAAATGTCCTGAAAGGCATTTGCTAGTAAAATAGATTAAATTCCATTAAACATATTAAATAGACAATATATAAATATTGAAATTAAATTGACATGATGTATTTAATGAATATGAGGGAAAACATTATAAAACAGTTCATAAAATAGCATATATAAAATAAAGGTTTATGTATATATACATTATATGAAAAACAGAAATATATGCATATAATTTATCACCTTGTCATAAATTATTTTATTCATCTATATTTTTCTATTATTATTTTTATAAAAATGTATTAAGTTATACAAACATTTTGTTTTAGGAACAAAATTTAGAACATTCTGACACTCATTAAGAGACTTTATGCAAAAATATCAATGATAATGAACAAATCAGTTAATTTAACTTACTGACAATAAGTTCTTGCTGAAACTGATTGATGTAAACAATAATTTCTGTAGCAACCTGAATGTTCTTATAAATAATTCTTCTCATTTTTAAAATACAGAGCCGCTAAAAGAGAACTCGAGCAATTATAAAGCATATCATAATTTTGATACATATAGTATTTAATGAGAAAGATTTCCAATTGAATAAGTGAAATAGCTTGTTTTAAAATGATAATCAATTTAGGTAAAAGGCTTCATCTAAGAGCTGAAGTGGATCCAGAATATCTGCTACTAGTTATAATCCAGTAGATTATAGTGTGGTAGAGCTCTTCTGTAAAAATGTGTACATTATTGCTAGACTTTTATATGAATTTGGTAATCAATACCTAAATATATCTCCCGATGTCAATATAAAGACCATTGATAACATTTCTTAATGTCCTGTTTTACCGAGACACATATTTTGAACAGAGTAAAATATGCCTGCATTGCAAACAATAGAAATTTCTTTTGCATATTCCTCCTGATTTTAAACAAAAAACAAAGATATAATGAAATATATCAGTAATGCATACCAAAGCTTTATCCATAATGATTTGTATTTTCAGGGTTCTTTTCAATAGTGCAACATGTGACTCTTTCTGTGAAACAGAGTACACGAATTAAACCAATTTCAAAAATTTTACATTGAAATTATTATATGCTATATATTTATATATACCATATATGTATACACACCTGCACAGAGGTAAAGTAGATACAGTTCTATACAAACACAGATACAGACACATAGATATAGCTATAGCTCTGACAATAGATATAGATGTAGATCATAGGAAAATAAGGGGATGCATATCTACTTAGTAAATAAGCAGGTCAGAGTCCAAATAAGAATTTTAGTAAACAACAGGAAGCTTTAATTTTATATTCTTCCTAATTAATGTCTTCAAAAAATGAGAGAATTTAATGTTTCCATCCTCTGAAAAATTCGTGGGTACTCTGTAAGGTATCACCCTTACCTTTAAGCTAAACAACTTTACCCCAAATGATGTCTCTCTTTTCTCATCATTTTTATACTTATAACTTTTATATTAACTTTGTTGAGCTTTATGTTCCAATAAAATGCATCAGGTTTAAGTATAAAGTTATAAGAGTTGCAGTACACTCCTACATATGCATTTTTCACAACTAAGATAAAGAATGTTTCCAACATCCTCTACTGTGTCAATAGATCACATGATTCAAGACAACAGATGATCTGCTTCCTCTTACTATCAATAATCTGTTCTGAAATTTCATATAACTGGAATCATATGGCATGCACTTTTAAAATATCTGGCTTCTTTCACTCAGTATTCATCAATGTTGTGATTACTAGTTGTCCATTAGTTTTTATTGCTAAGTAGTGTACCATTTATAGATACATCACAATTTGTTTACACATTCACCTGGTGATGGTCACTTGGATTACTAACACATTTTAGCAATTATAAATAAAGCCTCTCTGAATATCCAGGTCTTTGTGCAGTTATGTGTTCTTATTTTTCTTGGTAAATATGTATAAATAGAATACCTGAGTCATATGGTAATTGTGAGTGTATAAATAGTACAAATAAGCCAAATCGCTTTCCTAAGTGTTTGATCATTTTCATTCTCAACAAGAATAAATCAATTCCCATTGCTCCACATCCTTACCTATATTTTGTATTGTCAGTCTTTTTTGTTATATTTATTCTTGTTGGTCTGTATTGACAGCTCACTGAGGTTTTCTTTGCCATTCTCTGATGAGTAATGATGTTGAATATCTTTCACATGTTTGTGACCCACTAATTTGTTTTTTCCTAAAGTTTCCACTAGAAATTTTGTTTAGCCTTGACATATAAGTCTATGTCTAATTCATTTTCTACATGAGTCAAAGTATATTTTATTCTATATGGTATACAATTCTTCCAGCATCCTTTGTTGAAAAGATAATTTTTTACCCTTTGAAAGTCCTTGCACCTTTGTAAAAAGTCAACCAATAATATATAGGTCTACTTCTGATTTCTCCATTCTGTTTTACTGTTCTATATGTCTATTCTTATGCCAATAACACAATATGCAGGGGTCAGCAAACTATGGCCCTGTTTTCAAAATAATATTTCATTGGAACACAGCCATAATCATTTATTTACATATCATTTATGCAGCTTTCATGTTACAAAGGCAGAATGAAGTGGATTCAACAGACCACATTTCTCACAAGCTTAAGATATTTACAATCTGGTCTTTTAAGAAGTATGTTCTCCTTTCCTTTTAAGAAAAATACAAGTTGTCCTTCTTATTCTACCTTATAAAACTGTTTGACTACTCTAGGATATTTGAATTTCTTTATGAATTTGATAACCAATTTTTACAAAAAAAAATGCTTCCTAGAATTCCCATTAGTATTGCACTGAATCTACAGATCAATTTGGGAATAATGAACAATTTAACAATGCTAATTCCTCTATTTCATGTGACTTGTTAAATTCTTATTAGTCCTGGTACTTTTAGTGGTGACTTTTTAGGATTTTTTATGTGGAGAGTAAGGATCCAGATAAGTAGGATTACCATTTCCTTTTTAAACTCTATGCCCTTTATTATTGTTACTTTTCGTGTTACACTGGAAACTTTGGTAAAATATTGAATGGAAGTAGTAATCCCAATCCCATCTTAGTTTAAATTGCTGTAACAAATATACATGGACTGGGTGGCTTAAACAGCAAACATGCTTTTTCACATTTCTTCAGACAAAAATGTTCAAGATGAAGGCACTCATAGATCTGATATCTGGTAAGAATTCTCTTCCTGGCTTGCAGACTGCTGTCTTCTCTTTGTGTCTTCACATGGCAGAGAGCAGAGATAAAGATCCTCTGAATGCTGCCCTCTTTTTGTAAGAAAATTAATTCCATCAGGAGGGCTGGGTTCTTATCAACTAATCTAATTACCTTCCAAAGTCTGACCTCCTAATCCCATCTTTTTGGGGGAGTTTCCACATGTGGATTTGTGGGGTACATAAACATGCAGTTTATAGCAGGTGGAAAACATTCAGTCATTTACATTTATTATGTTAGCTGTAGGTTTCTCATAGATGTTCTTAATTAGATCAATAGTTTTCTTCCTTTCTTTCTTTCTTTTTTTTTTTTTTGAGATGGAGTCTCGCTCTGTCCCCCAGGCTGGAGTGCAGTGGCACAATCTTGGCTCACTGAAACCTCCACCTACCAGGTTCAAGCGATTCTCTTGCCTCAGCCTCCCGTGTAGCTGGGATTACAGGCGCATGCCACCATGCCCAGCTAACGTTTGTATTTTTAGTAGAGATGAGATTTCACCATGTTGGCCAGGCTGGTCTCAAACTCCTGATTTCAGGTGATCGGCCACCTCGGCCTCCCAAAGTGCTGGTATTACAGGTGTGAGCCACCACTCTGGGCCCAATAAAGTTCTCTATTCATACTTTTTAATCATGAATGGATGTGGAATTTTTCCAAATGATTTTTTCTGGAACTATCGTTATGATCCCACCGATTTTCTACATGTATCTGTTAAATTGTGTATTTCGGTTCCTGTTTGGCTGTATTGATTTAAGTAACATTGCCACAAAGTTCCATAGATATTGCAGTCTTAGAATTCTTGAAAAAGTGAGAATGTTTATACTACAATGTGAATTTGACTGTGTAAAACATTGTTGAGATACTGTATGTCCTCTACTAAGTTCATAGAAATTATTTGACTCACTTGTAAGCACTCCATTTTGTCAAAGCCCAACACGAGTCAGTTTTCCTAACCTCATTATTGACTTTCTTTGTGGCCAAGATGCCCATAGGATTTTTCATTATTTAATTACAAAGTCCAATATATTAATTTCATTATACCTCAGTGATATAAGTTTTTATCAGAGTTTCTTGAAATTTTTTTTCTCATTCAGGGCACCTTTATTTCAATAAACTTCTATTCTTTAATAACTTGGAATAGTTTTCATGCTACTTTATTCATGATAATTTCACTTATCTTGAACTGCCATTGTTAGTTTTTCTTACTATATTAGTCAGGGTTCTCCAGAGAAACAGAATCAATAGGAGGTTTATATAAATAGAAAGCTGTCTATCATAAGGAATTGGCTTATATGATTACAGAGGCTGACGTGTTCAAAATCAGCAGAGTTGGCCAGCAGGATGGAGAGAGGAAGAGTTGATGCTACAATTGAGGTCCAGAGGCTATCAGGCTGAAAACGCAAAAGGACCTGATGCTGAAGTTCCTGTTGGAGGAAGGTCAGTCTTTTCATTCTCTCCAGTATTCAACAGATGGGATGAGGCCAACCCACATTATGGAGGACAATCCACTTTACTCAAAGTCCGCCAGCGTGAACCACATTTAAAGCACTCTCATAGAAACACCAAGAATAATGTTTGACCAAATATCTGAGCAACATGGCCTACCAAAATTGACACATGAAATTAACCATCACATGTCATTAGATTTTCTTTCCCATTGGTTTTGTATCATTGCTTTCTTAATTTACTTTTTTCTCTACTTCCTTAAAAGTGACTTTCACATTACAGATTGGGTGTTTGTAATTAATTTTTAAATAAAATAAATATATTTATTTATGGGTACAATATGATGTTTTTATATATGCATACATTATGGAATACTTAAGATAAATTACATATTCATCACCTCACATAATTATTTTTGTGGTGTGAAAAATTGCAATCTACTCTAATAGCATTTTTGAAATATGAATTACATTATTATTAACTATATTCAGCATACTGTATGATAGACCTCAAAACCTCATTCCATCTGTCTAACTGAAACTTTGTACCCTCTGACTAAAATCTCTCCACTTCTTTACCTCCAAACTCTGGTAACCATCATTCTGTTCCCTAATTCTAAGTTTGACTTTTCTAGATTTCATATATAAGTGATATAATGCAATATTTGTCTTTCTGTGCCTGGCCTATTTCACTAAGCATAATGTCCTCAAGCTTCCTCCATGTTGTTGCAAATGACATAATTTTCTCATTTTGTTAAGGCTGAAAAGTATTCCATTGTGGACAATGGAATAGGAGAAATAAATACTGGGCATTTTCTTTATCCATTCATCTGTTGATGAATCTTGGCTATTGTAAGTAATGCTGAAATGAAAATTGGTGTAGATATCTCTTTAATATACTGATTTTAAATTCTTTGGATATATGCCCAGAAGTATAATTGCTGGATTATATGGTAGCTATGTTTTAATATTTTTGAGAAATTCCATAATGTTTTCCATAATGGCTGCACTAAATTACATTTCCACCAACAATGAACAAGGGTTTTATTTTATCCACATCCTTGTTGTCACTAGTTATCTTTTGTCTTTTTGATAATACCTATTTTAACATGTCTGAGGTGATAGCTCATTGTGATTTTAATTTGCATTTCTTGGATGATTGGTGATTTTGTGCATATTTTTATATACTTTTTGGCCACTTGTGTGTCTTCTTCTGAGAAATGTCTATACTCAGATACTTTGCCCAAATCAGGTTGTTTTCTTGCTGTTGAGTTGTTTCCAACATATTTTGGATAATCGTCGCTTATCAGATTTATAGCTTACTAATATTTTCTGCCAATCAGAAAATATGTCATCACTGTGTTGTTTCTCTTTGCTGTGAAAAAGCTTTTTAGTTTGATGCAGTTCTCAAAAAACTATTCCCCAACCAATGTTGTGGAGCTCCTCCCCTGTGTTTTCCTAATAGTTTACAATTTTAGATATTACCATTATGTCGTTAATGCAATTTTTGTTTATTTTTGTATATGTTATGAGATATGGATCCAATTTCATTTTTCTGCATGTGGATATGAAGTTTTCCCAAAAGAATTTATTGAGGAAACTGTAATTTCCCCAGTATATGTTTTTGGCACCTTTCTCAAAAATCAATTGACCAAAATTTTGTGGGGATTATTTCTGGGATCTATTCTGTTCCATTTTTTAATCAGTCTGTTTTTATGACAGAACCATGAAGGTTTGATTACCATAGCTCTGTAATATATTTTGAAACAAGCAGTGTGATATCTTCAGCTTTGTCCTTTTGGCTCAAGATTTCTTTGATGATTTGAGGTCTTTTGTTGTATATAAAAATTTTAGCATTGTTTTTTCCATTCTGTGGAAAATGTTCTTGTAAATTTGATAGGGGTTGCACTGATCTGTAGACTGCTTAGGGTATCGTTGAGATTTTAACATATTAATTCTTCCAATCCATAAACAAGGAATATCTTTCCAATTATTTGTATCTTCTTCAATTTCTTTCACTAATGTTTTATTATTTCCAGCACACAGATCTCTCACATCCTTGGTTAAATTTATTCCCAAGTATTTTAATAAAGAGGCTAATTTTTAAATCCCTTTTTTTTGCACAGTTTTTTGTTAATGCATACAAACACTACTGATATTTATACTCTGATTTTATATTCTGCATCTTTACTGAATTGGTTTATTAGTTCTATCAGTTTTTTGGTGGAGTCTTTAATTTTAAATTAATTTAAAATTATAAATTATATATAATTTTATATATACTTATATATTAAATATATACATATTTATATGTTTTAATATATATAAATTATATCCATAAAACATATAATTTTAGATATGATATCATGTCATTTACAAAGAGTCCATTTCACTTCTTCCTTTCCCATTAGAATGCATTTTTAAATTTTTCTTGCCTAGTTGTGACCAGAAATGATATTATGTTGGAACAAAGTGAAGAGTGTGGATATCCTTGTCTTGTTTCTAATCTCAGAGAAAAAATATCTTTCAACCTTTCACTATTGATTATGATGTTAGCCCTGTGTTTGTCATACATAGCCTTTATTGAATAAAGAAACATTCCTTCTATACTTAATTTGATCAGAGTATTTTACAAAAGGATGAATAAATTTCCTCAAATGCTTTGTATGCAACTTTTGAAATAATCATAGGGTTTCTGTACTTCATTCTGTTAGTGTGGTATATTATATAAATTCATTTGTGTATTGTGAACCATCCTTGTATCCTAGGAATAAATCCCACTTGATCACAGTGGACGACCCCTTTAATATACTGTTAAATTTGATTTGCTAGTATTTTGTTGAGGATTTCTGCATCCATGTTTATAGGACTAGTGGCCTGTAGTTTTTTTTTTTTTTTTCTTTTTTAAGAGGGAGTCTTGGTCTGTCATCTAGGCTGGAGTTCAGTGGCACGATCTCGGCTCACTGCAACCTCCGCCTCCTGGGTTCAAGTGATTCTCCTGCCCCAGCCTCCCAAGTAGCTGGGACTACAGGTGCCCACCACCATGCCCGGCTAATTTTTGTATTTTTCGTAGAGACAGGGTTTCACCATGTTGGCCAGGCTGGTCTCGAACTCCTGACCTCAGGTGATCCACCCGTCTCAACCTCCCTAATTGCTGGGATTCCAGGTGTGTGCCACCACGGTCTACCTGTTGTTTTCATTCTTTGTGATTCCCTTGTCTGGGTTTGGTTTCAGAATAATGTTTGTCTATTAAAGTGAGTTTGGAAGAATTGCCTCTTCTTCAATTTCTCAGGAGAGTTTTGAAGGATTGGTATCAATTCTCCAGATGTTTGGTAGATTCAGCTATAAAGTCTTGCACTTTTATTTGGTGGGAGTCTTCTTATTATTAATTCAATCTTCTTATTCATTATTGGCCTGCTCAGATTTTCTATTTTTCATGATTCAATCTTAATAGATTGTATGCATGTGAAAAAGTATCTATCTCTCCTTCTTTATCCAACCTCTTGGCATATAAATGTTCATAGTATTCCCTCATGATCGTTTCTATTTTTGTGGTATCAGTTGGGATGTCTCTTCATTTATTTCGAATTTTCATTTATTTCAGTCTACTGTTTTCTCACTTAGTCTAACTAATGTATAATTTGATTTATATATAAAAACTTGTACATGAACATTCATAGCAATGTTTTTTGCAAATTTAAAAACTGGAAACTACCCAAATATTGTTTGATGGATGAATGGTTAAATAACCTGTGGAACATTTGTATTATGTATACTACTCAGAAGTAACAAAATGAATTATTAATACAAGAAAAAAATTTGATGTATCTCAAGGGAATGATATGAGTGAAAAAACAAATTTCAAGAGATACTATATAATGCTTCTTATATATAGTATCAAAAATAATATTATGGAGATGGATTGTGGAGACTGGATTAGTGTTTGCCAGTGACTAGGAATTACGAGTAAGGTAGGTCAGTATACTCTATAGCCGTAGTATATAGGTTCCTTGTGGTCATGAAATAGTTCTGTATGTCAATATGTATGTCAATTTTTGTATTGGGTACACAAATCAATACACGAAATCACAAACAAGTCAGTTTATGTAAAAATTGGTGAAATCCAAAGTTTTGGAGGTGAATGATAGTGATGGTTGCCCAGCAATATGGATGTATTTAATTCCACTGAAAAGTAGGCTTAAAAAGCATTAAGATCATAATTTTTATATTGTGTATTTTACTACAATACAAATGTTACAATAAATAATAAATTGAAAAAAAATTGAAATTAGGCAAACCACCTACTTATACAGTAAGAGATAAAATAAAATTATTTCCAACTAACTATATTATCATTCCTTGTGTGAACTCCATATTGATGGGGGAAAATATGTCTGGCTTTTCATTAAGTCTCCCTAAGCCATAAAGCTTTTCTAAGAAACAAAAGTGTGGAAAAGTCAATAAATAAATGGATTTTGATTGTTTTTATGAAGTAATTTTATAGGTGTGATTTTTTTGCCTGATACTTATAAATCGTACTAAAATAATAAAATACATCCATATATCCATATTTCGCATTTTACTTAAACTCCTTAGACAGTTTTCTAAGAAATTGATTTTTTAGTTTTTAGTATCTGTTTGTGTTTTCACCTGAGTCTTAAGAGCAGAAAACTAGAAGTAGATATTACTAAAATTGGCAATTGGCTGCTGCTAAACATACTATGATTCTTATTTTTTTTTTTTCTGTTTTCCTTCACTACAGTAATTCAACTGTCTTCCCAGAAGGCTATGATGTTGAACAATCATATTGCCAAGGCTTCATCAGCAAAAGGTCTAGAGTAGAAATGTGCTTTATAACCCTATGTTACCCCTGAATGCGTTGTAAATGTCAACTCTTTAGAAAAAAGAGCCCACGTACCCAGAAATGCAGGCTCCCACGTGCCTCCTCCGGTGCAGCCCACTGTGGGTGGGCGCGCGGGGCTGTAGGATCCACCCGCCTCGGGATCCACGGAGCTGGGTCCCCGCCGCGCCCCGCGGACCCCACGGCCCTTCCGCTCCGCTCGGCCTCCACCACCCTGGCCTCGAGCTGCAGCCGTTCCAAGGACAACGGCCATCCCTGTGGCTGGGCCGCCGGCTACGCAATGCTGTCTCTCTTGCTGATCCTCTCAGGCCTGGGCCGGCTGACCTCCGCGGGCCCACGTAAGTAAAGAGCCCTGCAGGAGAGGAGGCCGCCTTTCCGCTTTCGCCTTTGGCAAGGCCTAGAAGCGCAGGCCAGGCTGGGAAGGGGGCCCCAGAACTGCTTACAAGTGTCGGACCCCAGGCTGCAGTGGGAAGTGGGGATGCCGGATGGGGTCTGGGAGCAGCAGCCCACACTTCTCCCACGCAGGGCTGAAGTCACCAAACCCTGAAGTGTCCTTGGGCAGAGCTAGGGTAAACCTCCCACGCCTGGAGGAGCGTCTTCCTGGAACTGGACTCGTGTGTGTGTGTGTGTGTGTGTGTGTGTGTGTGTGTGTGTGTGTGTGTGTGTGATGGAAGCTTAAAGAGTGATAAGAAAGGACACTGTGACATGAATACACTGGGAATGCTCACATATGCTTTTCCTCATGCAGATTCTGAAACACCAGTTCTGCAAATTACAGTACCACAGAAGATCCAGACAAACACCAATGATGGTGATGTTTCAGAAACGCATGTAATTAAGAGATCACCTTTTAAAATTATGGTGTTTTGTTTTTTCTGGACTACATGGCCCCAATCAATTCATACATATCCCTTTGTGAAATTTAGTTTGTGTTCTAATTTACCGTGCTAAGGAGTCATTTGGTCTGAATGACAGCAAGACTTTGATATTTTTTTCATTTCTCAATATATGAATGTTAGATAACTGTTTTAAAACAGAGATTCAGGAAAAGAATCCCCAAATTCCTATAACACAAAGGAACCATATTCAGTCTACTGGGTTCTTTTAGAAAATATGTACATTTAAATCTGTGTTATTATATAGTTGAGGTCATACTAATATTTACCAAGCAACATGTTTTTAACATGATAATATATAAAGACTATCTTCATGCCTATACATGTATATATAAATCCTTTGTAAATGAAAGTAATGTCATCTTTCATCTGATTAGAACAGGAAAGTAGGTATGTTGTAAAATTAAATTGAGGTAATACAGAGAATGCTGAATACAGTGAATGTCCACACCAGTCTCTAAAAATAATAAATTTATACTAAATGAATATTTAAACACACATGCACATGCACACATATATTTTTAACGATTATATATGACTGCGATTGACTTTTTCATTTATTTATAAATATTGGATTTACTTTTATGGTAATTAATATGGCTCTGTCATTTTTATGACTTCATGATATGTCATATGGATGTAACATTTATCAAATTTTCAACTCGTAGATAGTTTCATAAAATTTCTTTGATAGTTGTTTATGTAGATCAATGGGCAAGCCATTACAACTTTTTGTAAACATTGCAGAATATCTTCCAGAAAAGTTGCATTACATTTGACTCTCATTAACAAACAATAGTGATATATATCTTTTTGAACTGTCACTAGGCTTTGTTCAATTTTCTCATTTCCACTAACACACACAAACACACACACACACACACCACTGTGAGAGATAAGCATTGTTTTTTAATGATGAAATATTCAGCTCACTAGGAACATTTAACAGTTCTGAAGTTGTATAAATTTAATAAAATGCATTCAGCACCTAGAAAGTGAAAATTCATAGCTCTAGAGGAAGAAATGGTCAAATCCATTTCCATAGCGAGATCTTAAAATGTTTTCCTCAAATGTTGGTTGACAAATCATAAAAAAATTCATAAAGATAAAGAAAATTTGAACAACAAAAATATTTTTATCCAGTGGATATATATAGAACATGAACCCAGTGAGTGAATATATTGTTTTCTCCAGTTCTGATATGTTTTAGGACTCACTAGACTCTACAGTTTATTACACATGAATCCAAGAAACATTCACTGTGAGCTCCCTGTTTAGAAACACAATCTCTGTGTTCCTAAAGCATACTGAGTCTACCAACAAGAACTACAGGAGAAATTTTGGCTTTTGGAGAAGTCAGCTGAAATCTTTCAGTGACTCTTTAAATAGTCAAGCAGGGCTTGTCAAAATAATTAGGCAAACACTGAGGAGGCTTCCTTGGCCAGGGACGTTTTGAGTTCTGAAAGCCCATTATAAATATCACTCACTGCCTTTGTTTTGGACAAGAATCTGAAATATCCAGATGTGTAGGGATCCCCAGATCTAAAGATAGAGCTTTGCCAATCCAGCTGTAATTTAGCTCTATGCCACTGTAAGTAATGTATATTCTTCTGAAGAATATATAGAACAGTCAACAAAATTGATGATAGTAAAGAAAGAAAATTAAAAATCAAATACTGGTAGTATAAAACTAGTTATATGGTAACAATCAATTAGAATAAAACTTAACAAGGAACTCAAAAATGCATTTAGAAATTTGTAGATGTACTTCTATATATTTCACAGGGTGAAGAAGAAATAAGTGATAATGGATATTACACAATACATGATGGACAAGATAAATAAATTACATACAGAAATTTGACATGCACTTGAAAAGTGCATAGGAATATAACTAAAATATATATAATTAACCAATATTTTACCTGACAAACCTCTCATTCAGAAATGAGGGATAAAAAATATCCTGTACAAACAAAGCCTGAGGAAGTTTATTACCACTAGGCTTGCCTAATAAGAAATGCTAAAAGGAGTTATTTAAGCTAAAATGAAAGGAGGATAAATTATAAAAGGAGCACATATGAAAGTGTAATACCCACTGGTAAAGGTAAATATAAGTCAATTTCAAAATACTATAATACTGTATTAGTGGTGTATGAATCACTTATAACTCTAACATAAAGGTTAAAAGTCAAAAGTGTTAAAATAACTATCACTACCATAGTTTGTTAATGAATACAAAATATAAAAAGATGAAAAATTTGACATAGATAACATAAAATTATGTGTATGTGTAGAAGTAATATTGCATAGTTTTTGTATGTGATTGAAGTTAAATTTCTAGTATCTTAAAATAACCTGATATAACTATATGTTTATGTAAGCCTCATGGTAAACCATGAAGCAAAAATCTATAGTAAATAAACAAAAATTAAAGAGAAAATAATCAAGAGATACCACTGCAGGATAACATCAAATCACAGAGGAACACAGCAAGAGAGGAAGAATGCACAAAACAACATATAAAACAGCCAGAGAACAATAATCAAAATGGCAATAGTAAGTCTTCATGTCAATAATTACTCTAAATGTAAATGGACTATAAACTCTCCATTCAAAAGACATAGAGTGGCTGAATGGGTTAAAAGTATCCAAAGATATGCTGCTTGAGAGAGACACACTTCTGCTTTAAGAACACGCAGGGGCCGAAAGTGAAGGGATAGAAAAGGATATTGCATGGAAATCAAAATCCAAAGAGGAAAGGAGTTTCTATGCTTTTATGAGACAAAAATAGAATTTAAGTCAAAAACCGTAGCAAAAGGCAAAAAAGTCATAATGTAATCATAAAGGGGCCAGTTAATCAAGAAGATACAACAATTTAAAGTGTATATGCACCCAGCACAGAGCCCCCTAAATGTATAAAGCAAATTTAAACAGAATTGAAATGAGAAATAATATTAACAGAGGACTTCAATACCCCAGTTTCAACCATGGATAGATGTATACAGCAGAAAATGAATAAGGAACATTTAGACTTAAACTGCACTTTAGACCAAATGGACCTAAAAGACCTCTATAAAACATTCCATCAAATAGAAACAGGGAAAAATAGGAAACTCCGAAATAAGTGGAAATTAAACAACACCTTCTTAAACAACCAATTGGTCTAAGAAAACAAAGGGTAAAAAAGAAAAGAGTAGAATAACCATAGAATAGAGTAACAAAACTAAGAGTTATATTTTTAAAAATATAAATAAAATTAATAAACCTTTAACAATATTAGGAAAAGCAGAGGGCTCAAATATGCAATACCAGAAATAAAGGAGGAGACATAACAATTGACATCACCAAGTAAAAGCATCATGCTATGAACAATTTTATGCCAACAAACTGCATAACCTGGAAAAAATGGACAGCATCCTAGAAACAATCTACGAAGAGTGAATAATGAAAAACAGAAAATCTGAGGAGATCAGTAACAAGTAAGACTGAATCAATAATCAAAAATCTCCTACAAAGAAAAGTCCAGGACCAGATGACTTCACTGGTGATTTCTACCAAATACTTTTTTTTAGAAAGAGTAAATAACAATTATTCTCAGAGTTTTCCAAAAAATGGAAGAGGAAGGAGCACTTCCAAACTTATTTCATGAAGCCAGTATTACAATATTACTCTAATATCAAAGTTGGATTGAGATACTCCAAAATAAAAACGTGAGCCAATATCCCTGGTCAAAGATGCAAATATCCTCAATAGAATACTACCAAATTCAACAGCACAATAAAAGGACTGTATGTCATGATCAACTGGGATTTATTCCTGGGATTCAAGGATTGTTAAACATATGCAAATGAGTACAAATATGCCACATTAACAGAATAAAGGATAAAAATCATATAATCATCTCAATAGATAAAGAAAATGCTTTAGACAAAATCCAGCATTCTTTTATGATAAAAATTCTCAACTAATTGGGTACAGAAAGAATTTACTTCAAAATAATACAGGCCATAAATGACAGGCCTACATCTAACATCATACTCAATATGGAAAAGCTGAAAGCTTTTCCTCTAATATCATGAAAACTACACTGGTGCCCAGTCTCACCACTACTGTTAAACATTGAACTTCATCTGCTTGTAACGAAGGCCAAGTGGACCACTCCCAAAGACAACTTGGAAGTGCGTCCCCGACAGCAGTCCTCACTTCAACTCAGTCTTTAAAATTGTATTTTGTGCCTCGGTTTCTTCCTGTAGGTCTTTTGACCCCTCCTGGCCGGGGCCACTCAGTGTAGGCCCAGTGGAAGCCGGAATTCACATCCTCACCCAGGGGCCCACGAAGCCCCCCCTGCAAAACCCTCTCAAGGCTGGGCTAGGCCACATTTTTGTGCATTCCCACGGTCCATCCCCTGTGCATTTCCACCAGGAGACTGGGTTATTGTAATCTCCAATATCCTTGTCTGCCACCCACACTGCACCTAGCAGGGCTGTGCCTTGCTCACTCTGCTATCTCCAGTACCCACTGCTTAGGGGGCCTTTGTGAGCATGTTCTGAAGCAAGAAAGGGAAGGTGTGGGGAGAACAGCTTGAAAAAGGTAAAGAGATCAGGCCGGGCACAGTGGCCATGCCTCTAATCCCAGCAATTTGGGAGACCAATGTGGGCAGATCACTTGAGCTCAGGAGTTTGAGACCAGCCTGGCCAACATGATGAAACCCCATCTCTGCTTAAAAAAAAAAATAGCTGGGTGTGGTGGCATGCATCTGTAATCTCAGCTACTCGGGAGATTGAGGTAGGAAAATCGCTTGAACCCCAGAGGCGGGGTTGCAGTGAGGCAAGGTAGCACCCTTGCACTCCAGCCTGGGCAACAGAGTGAGACTTTGTCTCAATAAAAGAAATAAATAAAATAAAATAAGTGTATCTGTGGCTTCATTTCTTACATAACACCCCACATTTATTCAAAGAAATCTGAGAACTGCCAATGCCTTGCTCTCAGGAAACAAGCACAGGAAAACTAAATCGTTGCATGCTGTCAATGGCGGAGTGTGCAAGTGACAGGAGATGTGGTGCTTCCAGTGAAGAGGCCAAGGGATGGGGACACTTGGAAAATCCCAAGCCAGGCCTGAGCTGCCAACTACAGCCAAATGGAGTATTGCCTTCTCCAAACACAGATGGGACTTGGATGGCAGCCACTGGTCTTAAGCAGGGAAGACCTAAGTCACCTTAAGTGTCCTGTGAGATACCACAGTCTTTGCCAAGAGAGAGGAAGTGCCCGTGCAGGCCCTGACGTAAAGCCCCTAGCTTAGGAAGTCCTTCTGACCTTACTTTTCTTGGATAGCCCTTCCCCTACAATTAGATGAGAGAAACTTGCCTCTTTGCGAGATAAGACTAACATTATCTTTGGACTTCACCATAGGTGGAAGTTGCACCAGAAGGGTTATTCAGGAAGATAAAATAAAATGCCTCCAAGTGAAATTGTCTATTATCAGATGACATGATCTTATACATAGAAAATCCTAAACATTCTACATGAAGAAAAGGTTAGAACAAAGATATGAATTCAGTAAAGTTGCAGTATCCAAAAACCAACATAAAACAGATCAGCTGTATTTCCACATACTAACAGTAAACTAGCTGAGGAATAAATTTTTAAAAAAATTTATAATACCATTAAAAAGAATAAAATATTTAGCAATAAATTTAACTATGGTAGTGAGAGATTTGTACGCTGAAAACTGCAAGCTGTAAATTGATAAGAAAAATTGAAAAAGACAGAAACAAATGGAAAGATATCCCTTACTCATGGATTGGAAGAATTAATATTGTTAAAATGTGCATATTACCCAAAGCAGCCTCCAGATTCAATGCAATGATGCAATGCCCATTGACATTCCGATGGCATTTTTCACAGAAACAAAAAAAAAACTAAACTAAAATTCTCATGAAACCACAAAAGACTCAAAATAGTTAAAACAATTCTGAGTAAAAAACCCTGATGCACCATCACACTTCTTCATTTCCAATTATATTACAATGAAATCACTACCTCATAAAGATATTTGCACTCTCATGTTCATTGGAACATTATTCACAACAGTCAAGATATGAAAATAACCAAAATGTCCATATACAGCTGAATGGATAAATTGTGGTATGTATATATTTATATATGAAATAGAATGTTATTCTGTCTTAAAAAAGAAGTAGACTCTACCATTGTGATAACATGAAATAAGGTAAAGGACATTATGCTATGTGACATAAGCTAGACACAGAATGAAAAATTCTGCCTGATCTTACCTATATGTGGAATTTCAAAAATTTTCATATATAGAAGCTTGGAGTAAACAATGGTTACCAGGGACTCAATGTGAGGAGGAGAGTGCAGGGGCAAATGTGAAAATATAGGTAAAAAGGTACAGAGTTGTAGTTATATAGGATGAAAACATCTAAGAAATCTAATGTGCAAGAGAAGAACTGCAGTTAACAATATGATGTTTTATACTGGTAATTTGCCAATAAGTAGATTTTAGGTACTCTTACCACCAAAACAACAACAAGGAAAATATAAAAGAAAGTAACTATATTAGAATGATGTATATTTTAATTTGCTTGATTGCAAAAATCACTTATCTATTTCTATATCAAGATAAGACTATCAAAAACTTATGTTGTATACTTTAAATATATACAATATATTAAAAGTAAATTATATATCTATCATAATCAAAAGAGTATGGCATTAATCTCTGGGTATATGGATAAAGAAAATGTAGATTGATAGATGATCGATCAGTTGATCGATAAATAGACAAACAACAGAAAGTATTCAGTTTGTAAAAAGAAGGAAATCCTGCCATCCATCATTTGTAACAACCTGGTTGTACCTGGAGGACATTATGCTAAGTGAAATAAGCCAGACACACAAAGACAAATACTGCATTATCTCACTTATATGTAGTATCTTAAAAAAAGTCAAACATATAGTAACAGAAATTAGATGGTAGTCACCAGGGGTTGGAAGTGTGAATGAAAAGAGAAGATATTGGTCAAATATGTTTAAAATTTATTAATTTCTTATATAATCTTATAACTTTGAGTTATAACTTTGAGTTATAAGATTAATAAATTCAGAAGATCTAATGCACATCATGGTCACTATAGTTAATAATAATGTTTTGTTTACTTAACATTTGCTAAGAATAGATCTCAAATGTCTCACCACAAATGATAAAATGGTAACTATGTGAGGTGATGGATACAGTAATTTGATTGTTTTAATCATTTCACAATGTATATGTATGTTAAAACATCATACACATCTTATATACACTTTAAATAAATAATAAAACTTGTTTTTCAGTCGTAGCTCAATAAAGTTGAAAAAAATAAAATTGCCTTAAACCATTCTGGAAATGAAAGGGACTTTTATTATTGATACAAATATCAATTTATCATGAAGATATCACCACATTTAATCTTTTTGGAAGACCATACTAAATCTATCTGAAACAAGAAACCTCCATTAAATGGAGGGGCTTCTAATTAAATGTGGGCTGTCCCAGAAAGTTGTGACTTTGTATAAGATGACTCTTTTGAGCTAAGGCAATAGCCAAAGTGGGTAAGGAGATGAGGATTGCCTGTGGGTAGTACCTCTGGCAGCTGGGCAATAATTATTTTATTCTTAACTGGGAACCTGTGCTGCATTATTTTATTTTCAATTTATTTGTGCTGAGAGCTGCAAAATAGAACAAAGATAACAAAATTCAAGTTTTTTCAACTGTTTCTCAGCATTTCTAAACATAATCCCCATTTTGACTTCAAATCTCATAATAATACATGCTAATGATTAATGATCTGAGTTTTGAAATTTAGACTCCTTGTGTTTATTTAAATTACAATTAATTCTGTTATACATTCCAATTTTGATACATGCAGGATATAACCTACATTCATATGAATGAATATATGTTTCAAGGAACTGCAACATTTAAGAAGTTAGAATCTCTACCAATTACTTTCTCTCTGAATATTTTGCTACAGGCCACTTATTCCATCAAAATTGAGGGGAAACCATACACTTCCTGCTTGAAAAACAGTAAGTTACCATTTTTTTCATTCATTATTTTTAGTGTCTTAAATTTTTACAATCACTACCCTAAATTGAGCTTAAATAAGAGACTGAATATTAGATTTATTTAACATTGTATATCTTCTCTGTGATTCATTTTAGTGATTAATTTCAGGTTGTCATTTTGAGACTGTTTCAGGGAGGGGCTATGCCTTTTCCTAGGTTCCAGAAGGAAGGCAGGATGGAGCCGAATCTTTAGTAAACTTGCGAAGGACACTCATTGCTGTTTTATGACACTAAGAATTTTGGGGTTGTTTTTACCAAAGTATAACACCATGAAAACTAATGTAAATATATAAAATCTATTGTTACTTGTTAACAAATACTAACTAAGGTATATGAGCCATAAAATTACAGTTGAATCTAAAAGAAAACCCCTTTTGAAATCTGGCAGACCTACTTATTACTGTACATAAATCTGTGTCTGTCAGTGATTTTATTTATTTATTTTTATTTATTTATTTTTTTTTGAGACAGAGTCTCGCTCTGTCACCAAGCTGGAGTGCAGTGGCATGATCTTGGCTTACTGCAACATCCACCTCCTGGGTTTAAGTGATTCTCCTGCCTCAGCCTCCCAAGTAGCTGGGATTACAGGCACGCACCACCACTCCCAGATAATTTTTGTATTTTTAGTAGAGTCGGGGTTTCACCATGTTGGCCAGGATGGCCTCAATCTCTAGACCTTGTGATCTGCCTGCCTCGGTCTCCTAAAATGCTAGGATTACAGGCATGAGCCACTGCACCCGGCCATTTTATTTTATTTGATTTTATTTTATTTATTTATTTTATTTTATTTTTTTATTTTTTTATTTCATTTCATTTCATTTATTTTATTTTATTTTATTTTATTTTATATTTTATTTTATTTTATTTTATTTTTGAGACAGGGTCTTACTCAGTCACCTAGGCTGGAGTGCAGTGGTGCAATCATAACTCACTGCAGCCTAGATTTCTTGAGCTCAAGCCATCCTCTCACCTTGGCTTCCCAAATAGCTAAAACTACAGGCACATGCCACCATGACCCACCAATTTATTTTTATTTTTATTTTTAGTAGAGATGAGGGGTCTCCATATGTTGCCCCAGCTGGACTTGAACTACTGAGCTCGAGCAATCCTCCAGGTTTGGCCTTCCAAAGTGCTGGGATAACAGGTGTGAGCCACTGCACCTGGCCCTAGATGATTATTTTAAATTCATTAAAGCATCCACACATTTTTCTGATTATACTGGTTATTATTCTTTCTTATATTCACAATATGCTATCAAAAAGCAGCAAGTTAATATAGAGATAAGTCCATTTCATTTTTAGATGTTTGTATTGAAAGTAAATTTTGTTTAATTTTATTATTCTGGAAGTTATTTTTTAATTAATGACATAATTACAATGAAGTGTCATTATTTTGATTGAATTAGGTCATTTTTACACCCACATTTCCTGGTGTATTTATACAACAAATCAGGAACATTGTATGCAGATTCTTCATTTTCAAAGGTAAGTTTTGGTTTCTGCCAAGTAAATTTACATTTTTTATGTGGTTAAGGTGCCATTGTTGAGGAGGAAATGAATGCTTTATGGCCCACATAATTATTGAGAAAACAGATTACAAAATTAAATATAATGTGGCAATTACTATGAAAGCATATTGAATAGAACAACTACTTTTTTGAAAATTGGGAACTTAGGAATCATTTCTCCAAAAAGGACATTTAAACTTTGTATGTCTGAAAGTATTAGTAGGAGTTTTAGGGGAAAAAAGGTGTCTGAAGGAGCTAAGACACACTGAGAAGTTTCAATTGATATATGAGAGGGCCTGGGCAGTGGAGAAAATCGTAGACATTACCGTACAGAAAGACTCCAGGGAACTGGTGAGAGTGAGAATGCGAGAAAGTAGACAGTGTACCAAACCTTAATAGGTCCACATGTGAAACCGCAGAATTTGAGTTATATCAGAAAAGCTTTTTCTTTTTCTTTTTCTTTTCTTTTCTTTTTTTTTTTTTTTTTTTTTTTTTTTTTTTTTTTTTTTGAGATGAGGGCTCATTCTGTCACCCCAGTGCAATCTTGGCTCACTGCAGCCTCTGCCTCCCAGACTCGGGTGATCCTCCCACCTCAGCCTCCCAAGTAGCTGGGACTGTAGGTACCAACACCACACCCAGATAATTTTTGTATTTTTAGTGGAGTGGGGGTTTCACCATGTTCCCTAGGCTGGTCTCGAGCTCCTGGGTTCAAGTAATCTGCCTGCCTTAGCCTCCTAAAGTGCTGGGATTACAGGCTGAAAGACATTAAAGAGTCAAGAAAGGTTTGAAATTATGTGAGAAAATTCACTTTACCCTGTAAGATATTTATTACACCCTGTAAGGTATTTATTACTCTGTAAGACATTTATTCACGTGACTGGGAGGAAGTGAAAGGCAATGACTGGTCACACTCTATTGCTATATTGGAACTGAGAGATGATGAAATCTACGGTATGGTAACTGGTAAAGGATTTTCCCTCCCTACCAAATTACAATTAGAAGTCAGAAAAAGAAAAATACGTGAGGCACCCGTTTTGAGATATGTGACAATAGGCCCATTAGGAATTTTGTACCTGAGAGAATGTAAGCACAGGAGGTGAATTTCATGTTTAAGTTTGCCCCCTACTGTAGATAGTCTGGACCATAGCATCCAGACGTGGAACCAAGCAGAAATCTGAGAGTTTGGAGTTTAAGGTTGCTGATTACTGTTGATTTTTAAGTTTTCTATATTTTGAATATGACCTTTGTCAAACATGTGCATTGCAAATATTTTGGCCCTGTCTGTGATTTGTCTTACTTTTCTTTTTTTTTTTTTTTTTGATACGGAGTCTTGCTCTGTCGCCCAGGCTGGAGGGCAGCGGGGCGATCTCGGCTCACTGCAAGCTCCACCTCCCAGGTTCACGCCATTCCGCCATTCTCCTGCCTCAGCCTCCTGAGTAGCTTGGGACTACAGGCGCCCGCCACCACGCCCAGCTAATTTTTTGTATTTTTAGTAGAGATGGGGTTTCACCGTGTTAGCCAGGATGGTCTCGATCTCCTGACCTCATGTTCCACCCACCTCAGCCTCCCAAAGTGCTGGGATTACAGGCGTAAGCCACCAAGCCCGGCCGATTTGTCTTACTTTTCAAATGGTCTGCCACTGGTCAAAAAGTTTTATTTTTGATGAAGACTAATTTATCAACAATTTCTTGTTGTGATTGGTTGTTTTCATGTCAAACCTACGGACGCTACATAGCAGTAGTTTCTGAAGACTTTCTGGGTTTTTTTTAAGTTTATACTTTACATTTAATTCTTTATCTATTTTGAGGTAATTTTGTATAAGGTGTGGAATTTGGATCAAAGTTCAGTCTTTTGACTAGATGTATATTAGTTACAACACTATATTTTTAAAAGGCTATATTTCTGCTTTGAATCGCTCTTTTAACTACTTTGTCAAAAAAAAATCCATGGATCTAGTGTGGATATATTTCTGGATTGTTAACTACAGTGGTTTTTCCCACTTTATTATTCTTTTTTAAACTTTTTAAGCTATTCTGTTCTAGATATTTTGCTTTTTCATGTAAGATTTAGATAAAGCTACTCCATGTGCAAATAAAAAAAAAAAACTTGCTAGGATTGTGATAGAAATTGTGTTAAATCTGTAGATCAATTTGGGGAGAACTGATGTCTTTACTATGTTAACTTTTCCAATCCACAAACACAGTAAGTCTCTCTATTTATTTGGTCTTTTACGTATATCTTTCACTAGTGTTTTTGTTATTTCAGCTTTCAGATCCTATACATTTTTTAGGTTTATACCTAAGTATTTCATTTTATTGGAACAATTGTAAATGATATTGTGTTTTAATTTTAGTTTCCACCTGTATATTGTTCTTTTCTAGTGATGCAATCCATTTTTCAGGTTTCATCTACTATTCTACAATCTTGCTAAATTCACATATTAGTTCTAGAAGGGCTTTTTAATAGATGCCTTGAGACTTCCTACATAGACACGTCTTTAACAAATATAGACAATTTTCCTTCTTCATTTTCAACCAGTATGTAAGTCTGCTTTTCATTTCTTTGCTTTGCCTCACTGTAATTTGCTAAAATGTCCAGGACCATGTTGAATAACCGTAGTGAGGGCATTCTTCGATTATTCCCAATTTCATGGAAAACATATTCAGTCTTTCATTGTGAAAAAATAATTTTGGCTTTAGGTTTTTTTATAGTCTCTGTATTAAGTTGAGAAAATTCTCTATTTCTAGCCTGCTAAAAGTTTATGTTGTTCTTTTTGTTCATTAATGGCTATTTAGTTACAGAAAATGCTTTTTCTGCATCAGTTGATAGGATTACAAGTTTTTCTTTTCTTTTTTGGCCTTTTGGCATGTTGGATCGAATTGATTTATTTTTAAATCTTGAAATAGTTTTGCATACCTAAAAAATTACAACCAAGTCCTGACATGTATAATTATAATTCCTTTTACACATGACTTATTATCTTGAGGTTTCTCTCCTCAGTATTCATGAGAGATACTGATCTGCAAGTTTTGTTTTGTACTGGCTTTGTTTGATTTTTGTATTAGGCTCATAATAATGTATGTATAAGGTCCTATAAAGGAAGCTGAGATTTGCTTTTTCTGCATCTATTAATTTCATCCTGTAAGTTGTATTATTTATTATATAATATGGTGTACCACATTAATTGATTTTCTTATGTTGAACCACTGTTATATTCCGGAGATAAATCCCACCTTGTCATAGTGTAGGACACTTTTAATACGCTGTTGAGTTCAGATGTTTTTGAGATTTTTTTCCATCTATGTGCATCAGTGATATTGGCTTGTCGTTTTCTTTTCCTGTAATGATTTATGTGGCTGTGGTGTCTGGCCTCATAGAATAAGTTTGGAAGTGTTTCCTCTTTCAGTTTTTTGCAAGAGTTTAAGAATGGTTGTTCTGGCATTAATTATTCTTTAAATATTTGATAGAGTTCAACAGTAAAGTTCTCTGATCCTGCTCTTTTCTTTGTTGGTAGGTTTTGATTACTGATCTAATATTCATTCTAGTTGTGAGTCCTTTTAAATTTTCTACTTCGTTATGATTCAATCTTGGCTGTTTGTATGTTTCTAGAAATTTATCAATTTCTTTTGGATTATCCAGTTTGCTGACAGAAAATTGTTCATACTAGTCTCTTACATGATCTTTTTCTGTTTCTGTGGCATTAGTTGTAATGTCTCTGTTTTATTTCTGATTTTATTTATTCGCATCCTTTCTATTTTCTTAGCATAGCTAAGTTTGTCAATTTTGTTTCAAAAAATGAACTTCTTTGTTTCTATATTGGTTTTTCTATTTTTATTTGGTTTATTTCTGTTCTAATCTTTGTTTTTTAAATTTTCTCTGCTAATTTGGGACTTAGTTTTATCGTTGTTTTTCTAGTTTCTTCAGGTAAACATATGTGAGATATGCCTTTTTTTTAATGTAGGCATACATTGCTACGAACTTTTCTCGTAGTATTGCTTTTCCTGCATCCGTTTGTTTTAATATTTTTTGTTTACTTTTATTTTTATGCTTTCACTTATTTCAAGGTATTTTCTAATTTCTTCAGCCAATAGTTTCTAATTTCTTCAGCCAATTCTTTCAGCCAATAGTTATTCAATAGTGTGTTAATTTCAATATTTGTTAATATTTTAGTTTGCCTTATACTATTTATTTTTAGCTTCATTCTATTGCGTTCAGAAAAGACGCTTGTTATGATTTCAATCTTTTTAAAATTTTTAGATTTGTTTTTTAACCTAATATGTGATCTGTCTGGAAAAGATCCAAGTGTACTTTAGAAGAAAGTATATTCTTCCGCTGTTCAATGAAATCCTTTATATGTTTGTTAGAACTATTTGGTTTATAGTAATATTCAAATCTTCTGTTTTCTTATTAATCTTCTCTTTGGATGTTCTATTCATTATTTAAAATAAGGTATTAAAGTCTCCTATTATTATAGTATTGGTGTCTATTTCTTCCTTCAGATTTATTTATTTATATGTTCTAATATTGAGTGTGCACATATTTATAAGTAATCTATCTTCTTCAGATATTGACCCTTTTATTATTATAAAATGTCATTTTTTCTCTTATGATGATTTATGTGTCAAAATCTATTTTCTTTGATATAAGTATACAAATCTCTGCCCCTTTTGCTTACCATTTGCATGGAATTTATTTTTCCATCTCTTTACCTTCATCCTATATGTGTGCTTAAGTCTCAAGTGAGTTTCTTATAGATTTTATAAGAAATCCATAATGATTTGTATAGCATTCTTTTTGGCTTTTTTTTTTCTTTCAGCACTTTAAAAAAATATTTCATCCCACTCTCTTGTGGCCAGCAAGGTTTCTCCTTAAAAAAAAAAAAAAAGTCTGCTCATAGTCCTATGGAGTTTCCTTTGTATGCGACAAGTTGCTATTCTTTTGTAGTTTACAAAATTCTCTTTGTTTTTGATCTTTTAATGTTTGATTAAAATAGGTCTAGGTGTAGATATCTTTGGGTTTCCTGGCAAGAGAGTGATCCAAGTCTCTCTACGAGCTTTAGTGAGTCTAGTTTTGCATCCTCCCAGCGTATATGTCTCTATATTAGTTTCTGATTACTCACAAAGGTAATTTTTCCATATAATGTTGCTGAATTGGTATGCTTGTGGGAGAAGAAGCGTCCCGGGATTCCTGTTTCACAATCTGGCTGACCAAAATTTCAGTACTAATATTTTAAATATTATTTAAACCCCATTTTTTTCTTTTTAAAGTATAAATTATAGGTCTTCTGCTATTGTTTTACAAGTTTTTGAAACATCATATATTTTTCAGCCACTTGTCCTCTATTTTGCAGGTTGGGTATATGTGATCCATTCTCCTTAAACCTGGTGATCCTATCCACTGTCATCTGTACTCCAGACTATAGAGCTTATTCAGTGTTTCACTTGTTTGTTTATTATATATTTCAGTTATAATATTTTCATTTGTTCCCTTTTTGGCTTCTATTTATTTCCTAAGATTTTCTGTTATTTCATTTATTTCAAGAGAATTTGTCATTATTCATTAATGCAATTTTTATTACTTCTTTCAAATATTTTTTGATATCCTATGACTTATCATGTCATCAGTTGATTTTCTTTTCTCATTCTTGTTGGGATATTCCTGGTCCTTGTTATAATGAATTATTTTGATTATATCCTTGACATTTAGTCAAGACTCTTGATCTTATTTTAATATTCTATTTTAGAAGACAGTCATTCAGTTTGAGCTTTGTTTTATTGGAGTCCACTGTTCCAATAACATTTTTTTCTTTACAATATTATTGTGTTGTGTTTCATTGTTCTGGCTGCATTGGACCTTCTGCTGCCTCTTAAGCGTTTAAGCTAGAGGTGTAAATCGTACTTCCCTGGGCCAGGTAGTGTTTCCGGTTGAGGTGGGTAAGGAAAGATCCATAGGATGGAGAACATTTCTCCTGTCTTTTCTCTGCTACTAGATTTCAGTGTGCTTGATTCTATCTCTGCCAGTGACCCTGGTTGAAGATAGCTCCTATCTGAATGATCTTTTTCTACTTATAGTAGGGAGAAATGGGAAGTAACTCATGAAGATCATTTTCTCCTGCTGGGTGCACAGCCAGAAGCTATTGAGTCTGGATTACTCTCTACTGCTGGAGAGAGGTTGGGACCTGGATTGCCTTCTACCTCTTTGTGAGGGGCTTATAGATTCAGGTCCTGCTGGCACCACTGCAAGTGCAGGTGACTGCTGCTGTTGCTTGACATGGAGCAGGATATGGATTTCCCTGCCTGAGTTTGTTAGTCTTGATGGTGTGAGTGTAACAGGCACATTGCTGTAAATGTGTGTTTGGGTAGGATTGATTGGTCCACCTGGGCTCTGATAACTGCTACTAGGGGTAGATTTGGCCTGCCAGTGTCAGCAAGTGGGAATAGAGATTATGCCTCATTTTGAGAAAAAGTGTATGTTACTGATGAAAATGTTTACGAGCTAATAACATAGCAGAAAAGAACTTAGAGAAAGAGATTGTAGATTGATATGGAGATTCAATACCTGATAAATACTATTATGATAATGGTTAAATATGAATGCTTGACAATATATAGGAAGTAAAGATAAAAGCTAGGACTTTGTTTCCAAATCATTTATGAATATATCTTTCTATATTCCTTTTTAGGGTCATTGCTTTTACCAAGGATATGCTGCAGACATTCCAAAATCAGTTGTGGCACTACGCACCTGTTCTGGACTCAGGTAATGGCGTATTCCAGATATGTACATTGAGATTTTATGTGAGCCTTTAATTTCCAGAAACTTCTTGAAGGGTAGAATAAATATAGAGGAATATAAACTTTATTTTCTTAAATACTTTTCTTTTTTACCTGTTTTGTTGATCTATTTTTCTATTCTCTTTTTCTCTATCCCAGGTGGGCAAGCATAAAATGTATTCAGAAAAAAACTCTCACTAGCATAAAATGTATTCAAATTTATCAGTAACATTTTTATTCCTTTTTTGTATTTGAATATCCAGAGGATTACTGCAGTTAGATAATATCAGTTATGGTATTGAACCATTGGAATCTTCACCTACATATAAGCATGTAGTTTATCGAATTAAAAATGATGCTATTGGTCATTCCTCCTTTCAAGAAAATTATCCTGTGGCTCAATATATAGATCAGTCCTACAGGATTCTTGTCAAATCAGACGTGAGTATTCTCATTTATGAGTTCTTCATTGGTCTTACTGTTGATAAAGTTATTCACAGTGAAATTTTGAAATTTGACACATTTGGAGAATAAATTTAAACTGATATTTATATTAAAAAGTTCAGTTGTAGGACGTTTAAAACATATATTTGTTTATTCAGATATTTAGAAAATGTAATCGTTATAAACACACATAATTCTAAAGCATCATAACATGTTTCCTTAATTGCAGGGATTTTTATAGACATATAGTTATTTTTATATTGATTTTGCATCTTACTAATAAAATTATTACCAATTTAATCAAATTGCTTTATAAGTTTTTTTGCACATGCGTTTTTTTATTTAAAAGTGTTATTTTGATAGAAAATGTAAAAGTGAAAAGGGGGCAAGATAATACACTAGAAATTGTATAAATTGTGTGAAACCTCATTGTTTAAAGATAGTGCTCTTAATATTTTGATGTAATTCTTCCAATTGTTCTAAATACCAATTTATAAATTGTGATGGTGTATACATTACTCGCTAATAAGTTTATACTTAAAATGGACACATTTTATTGAATGTAAACCCCAATAAAGTTAACATAAAGAAGTAAAAGTACAAAAATAATAAGAAAATGAAGGCAACATTAGGGGAAATGTTTACGGATGTTAGTTTACCTTGAAGATTGGTGAGGGATCGAGACCATCCTGGCTAACACGGTGAAATCCCTTCTCTACTAAAAATACAAAAAATTAGCTGGGCGTGGTGGCGGGCCCCTGTAGTCCCAGCTACTCAGGAGGCTGAGGCAGGAGAATGGCTTGAACCCGGGAGGCGGAGCTTGCAGTGAGCCGAAATCGCGCCACTGCACTCCAGACTGGGCGAGAGAACGACACTCTGTCTCAAAAAAAAAAAAAAAAAAAAAAAAAAAAAAATTGGTGAGGTAGTGGTGTGCTACAGAGTATATAGGAATGTTAAAAGGGGAAGGAAATATGGGATTTTTCATTTCAGTGACTTTTTGCCAATTCTAATGATCAATAACATAAAATAAAATGCTTCTGATTTTCTTGTAAAATTTGTATTTGGAATCCTACCTGCTAAGGGTGTACCCATCATCCTCTTGTGTTATTACTTATATCTATATTCGTGTATCTGTGTCTGAATATCTATCATCCATCTGCATATAGATAGATGGGTAGCTAAATGGATGGATATTCCATATCTCACCTGTGAGTGTGTGTGCATGTGTATTGCACATGACAACTGCAATGTAAAAATTTTGAAAATGTGTTATTTAATTCATGTCCTCTATTTCACAGATAAATTCAGGTGCCATGCTATCGAAAAGAACTCTGAAAATACAAATCATTATGGATAAAGCCATGGTATGCAATATCAGTATGTTTATTATATCTTTGCTTTTGTTGAAATTCAGAGAGAATATGAATAAAAAACAACGTTTTCAATGCAGATATATTTTAATATATCTGCATTGTGTCTCAGTCTAGCAGGAGATAAATGATTTCACTTGCCTTTACAGTGACATGGGGGATCAATATTTTTATATTGATTTCTAGACTGTGTGTCTCAGTCTAGCAGGAGATAAAGAAATGTTTTCACTTGCCTTTACAGTGACATGGGGGATCAATATTTATATATTGATTTCTAAATCGATATCAATTTTCCCAATAATGTATAACTTCATATGGAAGGGTTCCACTACACTCTAATCTATTGTAGCATATCTAGCTGCAGATACTTTTAGATCTACTCCAATTGTTGATTGAAATTCTTCAATGTATTTCTATTTTTAAGTGAGTTGTTTTATTACTCAGTTGGAAATCTTTGTTATTAAATATTATCCCTCAGAAGATTACTTTATGTTTTATAGTTGCTTACCATCTCCGGTAGAAGTTCTGTATCTTAAAAATAGGAAGAATTATAGAATGTTTAGTTTTTTCTCAAAAGAATTGATAACTATGGATGTTGGTTAAATAATACTTTACTATTAGTGTTCTTACATACCATCAATTATTTGCTTATTTGTTTCTTCTTTCCTACCCTTGGATCAAGGGGTTATATTTAACCTTTATTTTTCCCTCTATTTTTTTTTTTTTTTTTTTTTTTTGCTATGCCTCTCTTTCCAGTCTCCAACCTTAGCGGTTTCCCTAGGGATTCTGATTAGTATTCTTTACTTATCATGATCTAGAATTAATGTTATACCACTTCATTAATAATGTAAGAGCCTCAGAGCAGTAAAATTTCATTTAACCCTGGTAAGTCATTATGAATCTGTTTTTAAAGATTTTACCTCTCCATGTGTTATAAACTGAAAAATAGATTTTTAAAAATTCAATATTCAATTATTTTAAAAAGAAATTAAGGAAATGAAGTGTTTCATATATATGAATATATATTCATAAATATTCATATATATTCATATATGAATATATGTTCATATATATGAATATATATTCATAAATATTCATATATATTCATATATGAATATATGTTCATATATATGAATATATGAATATATGTTCATATATTCATATATATGAATATATGTATATATGTTCATAAATATTCATATATATGAATATATGTATATATGTTCATAAATATTCATATATTCATATATGGTCATAAATATTCATATATATTCATATATTCATAGATGTGTATTTCATATATATGAATATACATAAATATTCATATATATGAATATATATATATACACACACACACACACACACACACACACACACACATACATTTTTCACTTGCAGAGCTTTTCATACCTTGTAGTAGGTTACTTAATGTATGATATTTCTCTTTAGCCTGCTGGATTCTCTTCAGTTTCTTTTCATCTGAAATTGTCTTTATTTCATCTGCACTTTTTAAACATTTCTTTTGGAAATAATTTGAAACTTTTAGAAAAGTTACAAGAATAAAATAATACAAAGAGGGCCCTTATTCTCTTTTCTCACATTTATTAATATTGTATCCCATTATCACTTGTGCACTCTTCATTTAAATTTGAAAGTAAGTTGTGAAGCTCATCATGAAGCTTTTCTCTTACATTCTTTAGTGTGTATTTACCTAGAATAAGACTATTATCTCATATAACCACAACAGAGGTATCCATTTCACTAAAAATAACATTGTTAAAATATTTTTATCAAGTCCACTGTAACTTAGTTGCATTGTGTTCAGATAATGTGATTTAAGTGACACTCTGTTTCTTATTCAAAGCTGTGTTCTATGGCCTAATATTGGTTAATATGAATCAATGTGCATAAAACTTTCATTTGTATTTGAAAAAAAATACATATTCTCATTGTTGTATATAAGCTTCTATGTATGTATATTTTATCCAACATTGCTTTGGGTTTTTAAAGTCTTGAGTATCTTTCCTATTAATTTGTCTTCTTAATTTATGTGTTATTAAGAGACCTATTTAAAATATCTCAGTATGATAGTCAATTTCTATTTTTAATTGTGTTAAATCTTGTTTTATATATTTTGCAGCCATGTTTTTAGTTATAAGCAAATTTAAAAGTCTCCATCTCTCTGATGAATTATTTTATTAATATGTTGTGATAAGCATGTCCATTTTTTGCCTTTAAGTTTTATTCTTATCAATGTATTATGTTAGTTAATATAATTATCACATAACATATTTTTTCTTTTCTAGTATTTTCCTGATGCTAGATGATGTGTTTTCATCCTTTGATTATTAATATTTCTATGTACTTATATTTTATGGGTCCTTTACATTTTTAATTTGCATATAGTTGTTTTTTTCATTGTCTTTGCCATCTAGTGTTTGGTCTGTTGACATCTTGTGATTATTGATATATAAACACAAAACTGATATACTGATATGTAATTGATATATAGTCACAAAATTGATATTTTGATAAACAATTGATATATAATCACAAAATATCAACAGATTAAACAGTAACTAAATGACAAAGACAATAAAAAACAACTATATGCAAATTAAAATTTTAAATTAATTAATTAATTAATTTTTTTTTAAAGCTAGCTACTTGGATTACAGGCACCTGCCACCACACCGGGCTAACCAGTAGGTTATTCACTCTTCATACCTTAACACTTTGACTTTGAATTTCTTTATCTGTAAAGAGGAAGATAATCACAATTACCTCATTTTAATATCATTGATTAATTTATAAAATACTAGGCCGATGTGTAAAACTTGGTAAACTGTGATATATCTTAATTCTATTTAGTGCCTCTTCAATTGACCACTGAATTATTTTTACATTTATATTTAAATCCACTTAAAATGTGGTAGTTAGTTGTTTTTACTAGCGATTAAGAAACAAAATTTGTCTTTCAGTATGCTTATATGGGCTCCACGGTGGCAGTTGCAGTTGAGAAAGTTTTCCAAATCTTTGGTCTTATCAACACTGTGAGTATTTATATTTTATATTTTAGTAAGCAATATAGCAATTAATGACGTAAAATTATTTGTGCTTATGTACATATATATAGCATTTACATTTTAACAAAAAGTAAAAATGTAAATGTAGCCCAACCACTAATTTTATCCACCAACGACTTTATCTTCAAAAATAGTAAATTAAATATATTATCATTAGATATTGAGAAGTAGTGTCATATTTATGGTTACCCAAAATTGTAAAACACGTAATTTCTGTTCTCAGATGTTTTCCCAGCTTAATATGACAGTTATGCTGTCTTCCTTGGAGATCTGGTCAGATCAAAATAAGATTTCAACAAGTGGTCATGCTGATGAAATACTACAGCGATTTTTGCCTTGGAAACAAAAATTTTTGTTTCAAAGGTCTCATGATATGACATACTTATTAATGTAAGTACTTTATTCATATTTAGAAAGGTTTTATCAAATTATCTTAGCTATCATAATTATATATAAATTTTATATAACAATAATTATTAAAAAGCTATCTGAAGACTGTGTTGGCAAACTGCAAAATATTAAGATTCTAATAACCATGTAAGACACTAATTAAATCATGGTAGCCCATAGTAGACTGTTTACTTATAGAAATGTAACGAGCTGAAAAATGGAAAGTCTTGTGATAAAAACATGATACCTCTCTGTTTGTAAAGACCTTCTCACTAGTAAATAATTGAAACCATCACTTTAACATTACATAAATATAAGTTAATTTATTGAATGCAATAATTGCATAAAATGCTTGTTACAGTATGAAATATTAATAAATAACTAAAATAGACCACTTTATTCTCCATGTGGTTTCCTTCTGGTATTTCTGTACTGACCTAAGATGTAGCTATTTACCTACTTGTTTTGTATCTTTCAAAAGTCTTTATATACTTTTATTTTACCAACTTGATTATTTCATGTGCAAAAATCAAAAACACAATTTTAAAGACCTTAAGCAATATGTGGAACATATTTATCAATGTATTGGAATAAAGAGTGTCTAGGATTACAGAGCAATATTAAGATATAAATATGTAAGGATGGTTTCTACACCCTACCTCTCTTTCTCTTCGTAAATCTGATGCATATTTTATCTTTCTCTATCTCTTTCAGTCCTACCTTTCTTCACACTTTTGGGGTTGGTTTACTACATACAAATTACAGCAATAAACACTTTTGACTTTTATATCATGGAATTAATTATATCCTTCCAGTGATGATTAATTTTTTGAAAGAATCATGCACTGCTAGGTTTTGAGCTGTGTATTAGATAATGTTAAACAACTTTTAGGACTTAACTTTATATGAACTATAGGGGATACCCAAATCTTAATGACTGAAAGCATAAGACATTATATGTAATTTCTGTGTTTTGGAGAAAGCATACCTTTATATAGAAATCCAACTCATAAAATATGAGTAAGTTATTGCTATTTTTAAATACACATATCCACAAGAAAAATTTCATTATTCAGTTATAGGAACCATTCTACTTATGTGGGAGCAACATATCACGGAATGGCATGCGATCCAAAGTTTGCAACAGGAATTGCTCTGGTAATCTCTCACACTGTTTTGATAAATCTTTGAAAATTGTATTTTTAGATTTTGGAAATCAAATGTAATTTTACAAGAGGTTTCTTACTGGGAGTGAAAACAGGTAACATAAAATGTATAACTCTAGCCATTTTCAAGTGTACACTTTAGTAGTGTTAAGTATATTCCCATTGTTGTGAAACAAATCTCTGGAACATTTTTTCTTAAAAAACTGAAACTCTATACCCATTAACCACCTGGAAACCACCATTTAACTTTCTGTTTCCATCAATTCGACAACTTCAGATTCCTCATATAAGTGTAGTCATACAGTATTTTCTTTCTGTGATTGGTTAATTTCACTGAACATAATCTCTTCAATGTTAATCTATGTTGTAGCATGTGACAGAATTTCCATTGTTTTGATGGCTGAAATGTACTTAATTGTAAGTATATACCACATTTTCTTTACCCTGTCACCTGACAAAGGATGTCTAGGTTATTTCCATATCTTGGCTACTGTATATAGTGCTGCAATGAACATGGAAGTGCATACATCTCCTTGATATTCTGATTTTATTACTTTTGGATAAATACTGTCTTAATCGATTTTCTGTTGCCTATTACAGAATACCTTAAACTGTGTAATTTTACAGAAATTTATTCCTTACAGTTGTGGAGGTTGCAAAGTCTAAGGTAAAGGGGCCACATCTGGTGAGCGCTTGTGGCTGATGAGGATGCTGCAAGGTGACACAGGGCATCACATGGCAAGGGAGCTGAGCATGCCAGCTCAGGTCACTCTTCCTCTTCTTATAAAGCCACCAGTCTCATTCTTATGATAGCCCGTTAATAGTTTAATCCATGGACGGACTCATCCTTTTATGTATTTCTCTAATTTCTCTAACTTTTTTAGTAGTTAAATAGTTTGAGGTTTTAGATTTAAGACTTTAATTCATTTTTATTTGAATTTTGTATATGGTGAGAGATAGGAGTCCAGTTTGATTTTTCTGCCTATGGATATCCAGTTTTCCCAGCACCATTTACTGAAGAGACTGTCTTCTCCACAGTGTATGTTCTTGGAAACTTTGTCAAAAATGAGTTTACTGTAGCTGTGTGGATTTGTTTCTGGGTTCTCTATTCTGTTCCATTGGTCTAAATATCTGCTTTTATGCCAGTACCATGCTATTTTGGTTACTGTAGCTATGTAGCATAATTTGTAGTCAGGTAATGTAATTCCCCCAATTTTGTTATTTTGCCTTTGGCTCTTCTGGGACTTTTGTGGTTCCATATATATTGTCAGATTTTTTTTTTCTATTTCTGTGAATCATGTCATTGGATTTTGATCGGGTTTGCATTGAGTTTGTAGATTGTTTTGGGCAGTATGGGCATTTTAGCAATATTGATTCTTCCAATCCATAAACATGGAATACTTTTTCATTTTTTTGTTTCCTCTTCAATTTCTTACATCAATGTTTTATACTTTATAGTTTCCATTACTGAGATCTTTCACTTTTTTGGTTAATTTCTAGGTATTTAATTTTATTGGTGGCTATTGGAAATGCTATTACATTTAAAATTTTCTTTTCCAGATTTTCTGTTGGTACATAGAAATGCTACTGATTTTTGTTTGTAGATTTTGTATCCTACAAATTTACTGAATTTGTTTATCAATTCTAATAGTTTTTTCATGGAATCTTTAGGTTTTTTCAAATATAAGATTATATCATCTTCAAACATGGATAATTTGACTTTTCATTTTTCAATTTGGATGCCCTTTATTTCTTGTCTGATTGCTCTAGCTAGGACTTCCAGTACTATGTTGAGTAACTGTGGAGAAACTGGGTGTCCTTTTCATATTCCAGATCATAGAGGAAAGGCTTTCAGTTTTTCCTCAGTGAGTATGATACTAACTGTGCGTCTGTCATATATGGCTTTTATCATTTTGAGACCTGCATCTTCTATACCAGCTTTTGAGTATTTTTAGCACAAAGAGATGTTGAAGTTGATCAAAGGCTTTTTCAACATCAATTGAAATAATCACATGGTTTTTGTCCTTGATTTCCATTGATATGATGTATCACATTGATTGATTTGCATGTGTTGAACCATCCTTGCATCCCAGGGATAAACCACACTTGGCCATGAAGAATGATCTTTTTAATGTACTGTTGAATCTGGTTTGCTAGTATTTTGTTGAGAAATTTTGTGTCAATATTCATCAGAGATATTGGCCTGTAGTTTTCTTTTTTTGATGTGTCTTTGTTTGGTTTTGGTATCAAGGTAGTACTAGCCTCATAGAATGAGTTTGGTAATATTCCTTTCTACTCTGTTTTTCAGAATTGTTTAAGATTGGTATTAGTTCTTCTTAAATATTTGGTAGAATTCAGCAGTGCAGCGATCAAGTCCTGGCCTTTTCGCTCCAGGAAGACATTTTAATTATAGCTTCGACCTGTTACTTGCTACTGGTCTGTTCAGGATTTGGATTTCTTCATGGTTCAATCTTGGTAGGTTGTATGTTTCTAGGAATTTGTCCCTTTCTTCTAGATTTTCATTTTATTGGCATATAGTTGCTCACAGTAGCCACCAATGATCATTTGAATTTCTGTAGTATCAGTGGTAATGTCTCCTTTTTCATCTCTGATTTTATTTATTTGGATCTCTCTTTTTTTTTTTCTTAGTCTGGCTAAAGGTCTGTCAATTTAGTTTAACTTTTCAAAAGACCAACGTTTTGTTTCTTTGATCTTTTGTATTATTTTCTTCATTTCAATTTCATTTGTTTCTGCTCTAATCTTTAGTATTTCTTTTCTTCTACTAATTATGGGTTTGGTTTGCTCTTGCTTTTCTGGTTCGTTAAGACACATATTAGGTTGTTTACTTGAAGTTTTACTTCTTTTTTGGTGTGCATACTTATAGTTATACATTTCCCTCTTCGTACAGCTTTTGCTATATCCCACAGGTTTTGGTATGTCATTTTTCCATTATTATTTGTTTAAAGAAATTTTTCAATATCCATTTTAATTTCTTCATTGACTCACTGGTTATTCAGGAGCATATTATTTGTCATGTTTGGACAAACTGGGTGAGGAGCCTCACCTCATTGCCATCACCAACACAGGCCCGTGGAGAGCACTGCCAGACTACTGCTAATGTTCCCTTAATGCCCAAGGGCTCTTCAGTCAGCTGGTGGTGAATGCTGCCTGACCTGGGACTCACCCTTCAGGGCATTGGACTCTCCTCTAGCCTAGGTCAGGTCCAGAAATGCTTCCCAAGAGCCAAGTCCTGGAATCAGGGACCCAGAGAGCCTGCTTGGTGCTCTGCTGCCCTGTGGCTGAGATGCTACCTAACGTGCAAGACAAAGTCCCCTTTACTTTTCCCTCCACTTTTCTCAAGCGAAGGAGCCTTGCCCTGTTGCCACCACAGCTGAGAGTGTATGAAGTCTCACCCAAAGCTAGCAAATCTCACATGCTCACTCAAGGCCCATGGCACACTCCCTGGGTATCACTGTTGGTTATTCAGGTCTCAAGGCCTCTTCAGTTAGCAGGTGATGACGTTTTTCAGGACTGAGTCCATCCCTTCAAGGCAGTGGGTTCCTTCTGGAAATGATATCCAGGAGCTAAGGCCTAAAAAGGGGGCCTCAGGACTCTGACTGGTGCCCTATCCTGCTGTGGCTGAGCGGGCATCCAACATGCAAAACAAAGCCTTCCCCAGTCTTTCCTTTCCCCTTCTCAAGCAGAGGGAAGGGGTCTCTTTTGGAGCTATGAGCTCTGCAGCCTGGGGTTAGGGATGAGGTGATGCCAGCACTCCCTTAGTCACACCAGCTGGTATCTCAATAGGCCATGTGCCCCCAGTCTACTGGCTCTGGGCCCAGTTCAGCACTAGGATTCACCTAGAATTGCAGTTCTTGTGGCCTAGACTGCCTTTCAAGTTTTATTTAGGGCCCTAGAGCACTTTAGCCCATGGTGGTGAGGCTGGTAGGAACTCAAGTTCCAACCACTGAGATCAGCGATTCCTCTCTGGCTAGGGCTGGTTTGAATACTCCCTCCGTAGGTGGGCATCAGCTGAGTTTGGCCCAGTTTTGTTTTCTGCTATAAAAGTGCAGCACTGAGTTCAATGCCTCACAATTGCTGCGTTCTCCTCTCCCCAGCACAAAGAAATGCTCTCTGCACCATGCCACTGTTGCCACAGGATTGACGAGGGTTGGTGTCAGTGGTTTTTCTACTTCAGTACCTCTTTCAGCTATGTGAAATTAAAACCAGAGCTGGGCATGGTGGCTCACGTCTGTAATCCCAGCACTTTGGGAGGCCGAGGTGGGTGGATCACCTGAGGTCAGGAGTTCAAGACCAGCCTGGCCAACATGATGAAACCTCATTTCTACTAAAATTACAAAAAAGTTAGCCAGCGTAGTGGTGCATGCCTGTAATCCCAGCTACTCAGGAGGCTGAGGCAGGAGAATCGCTTAAATCCAGAAGGCAGAGGTTGCGGTGAGCCAAGATCGTGCCATTGCACTCCAGCCCTGAGTGACAAAAGTGAGACTCTGTCTCAAAAACGTAAATAAATAAACAAACCAGGTACTGTAATGTGTTCACCTGATTTTTTTGTTCTTATAAAGGCACTTTTTTTGTGTCAATAGTTCTCAAATTGGTGTCGTTGGTGGGAGTCAGGGGCAGGAGGAGAGATGATCAGTGGCACTTTCTATTCCGCCATCTTGCTCCATCCCCCCCAATCCAGTTACAGATTTTTTAAATTATTTTTTAGTTTCTATCTCCTTGTGTGTGTGTGTATATATATATATGTAACATACATATATATAATAATAATGTACATATATATGTAATTTATCCCAGATATGCATGGCTGGTTTATCATGAATATAAAATAATGTCCTCCATTATATTAATAGGCTAAAAAAGAAAAATTATATGATTCTAGTAGTAGATTCAGAAAAACCAAATCCTAGACTATTTATAATAAACACTCTCAGCAAACTAAAAATACAGGGGAACTTATTTAACTTAAAGAGAGCATCTACAAAAAAAAAAAACAGGAAACAACATATTTTGAGTAAATAACACATTACTACTTAGATCAGGAAAAACACAAGAAAGTAGCTTACCAGTCACGGTCAACATCATACATGGAAAGCACCAAATTCTGTGAGACCAACAGGAACTCTCATTTATTGTTGACAGAAATGCGAATGATATAGCCACTGTGGATAACAGTTTTACAGTTTCTTACAATACTCAACTTACCCTTGCCATATGGTCCAGCAATCATCCTCCTTATGGTAAACCATCCATTTATTTACCTAAATGAGTTAAAAACTTTTATCCACCAAAAAATTTCACATAAGTGTTTTTAGCTTTATTCATAATTGCCACAGATTGGAAGTAACTTAGATAGCCTTTAACAGGTGAATGGATGAGCAAACTTTAGAACATCCATACAATGGAATACTACCCAGTGATTTAAATAATAAGCTATTAAGCCACAATAAGATGTGGAAAACCCTTAAATTTGTGGTGAGAGAAACCCTTATTAGAAGACTATATGTGGTAATATTTTCACTATATGATTTTCAGAAATAGGAAAAATATAGAGATAATGACAAAGTTTCTGGAAGTTTGTAGAAATGCTACTTGTAAGATGTTATATTATTCTACTTTAAAAAATTGACTCTTCTCAAATTATTTCTGAGGTCAAAACTGATTGCCTGTTCAACTCTCCAAAATCTGTGTATCTTTTCCAAGTGTTCTCTTGAGAAATATTGTAGTTACTAAAATAATCCTCCTACTTCTCAGAACGTTTTCTGAAATTTGCTGGAATTAAATTCAATAGTATGTCATAAAAATATATGATTGAATTATTCTTATTTTAGGTCAATGTCATTTTGATTAAAAATATTGTCACTCAAAAGGAATAAAAAATTGTACCTATTTTTATTTCTAAGTAGTTAGAAATAATTTATTTCTAAGTAAATAAATAGCAGTTTTTAAAATTTGCATTTGTATTTATATAGTATGGCTAGAAACGTTTGACAAGATCAAAGGAGTGAAAAAATATCTTAGGCAATAAATCTGGGTTTTTGTTTGTTTGTTTCTATTTAGTATCCAAAGAAAATCACTGCAGAGGCCTTTTCAGTTGTTATGGCACAGTTGCTTGGAATTAATCTGGGATTGACATATGATGATATCTACAATTGTTACTGTCCAGGAACTACATGCATAATGAATCCTGATGCGATGTAAGGAGTTGTTTTTATCAGCTCTATGTTTTCTCTTAAGAAATATTTCTAGTATTCCTTGATGTAGAACCTCTTGCAATATAATTTAAGAAATTGTTTTAGATACAAATGTGCTTAAGACATTAAAGAAAGTATAGAATGTTGTAGGAAATGTGCTTAATAGTTCTACATTCAGTGATATTATTTAGAGGAAAAGTGGATGCTAATGATTACCTTACAGCAGTCTAGTTGCATTGGTTGAAAAACTGTTCAGTGTCATGAAGTGAAATAGTACTTAGGTAGTAAGAAGTTTGAAAAGCAACTAAACTAAGGAGACATGAGAACTAAGGAGACATGAGAATTTTGCAATGCTTGATTCTGAACTGGATTATTTTGCTATAAAATGCTAGGATTGTGATGTTTGGGAAAATCCGAATGGAGTCCGAGCATTAGATATTAATAATAAGTCATTATTTTATGATTTTGAAGGGTCTAGGGTGCTGATGTAGAATAACCCATTTCTATGTAAGAACTACATAGATGTATGTAGTGTTCACAGAACACATTGCCGGCCTCTTAACTGTTTCAGAAAACAAAATTTATTTTTTTGGGCCATATTTGCATTATTTAAGTTTGAGATTATTACAAAATTACCCAAAATTACACATTAAGTAGTATACTTAAATGTATAGAAATACAAAAAATAAAACAAAATAAAAGGAATCTAGAATTTGTACAATTTATATACCTCAGTATTGGGATAACTTTTTTGATTAATTTTAACAAAGAACAAGTAATTATGATTTTTCATTAACACAATCAACCAAATTTTATTTCTTAATGTTGACAATAATAGGATATACTCAAATGGAGCTTATTGTGTACCAAATATTATTGAGTGTGTTACCATTTTAACTTTCTTTACTCTCTCAGTGTCTATCATATCAAATTACAATAGCAAATAATTCATTTTTTGCTTATCACCTGTATTAAAAATAAAAGCATTCTCTTCTCCTTTTGGCTCTTCTCTAAGTGAAGTAGTTCAGAATTCATAGCATTTTGTTGAGGAGTATTACTTTGATTCTTTTAGTCCATTTATCTAAGAAGTACAATTTAATTTTAGATGATCCCATGGTATGAAGTTTTTTAGCAGTTGCAGCATGGATGGATTTAAACGGATAGTTCTGCAGCCTGAACTTAAATGTTTTCAGGATAAAACAGTTTCAAAAATGACTTACCGAAAATCTTCAACTTGTGGCAATGGAATTTTGGAACCTACAGAGCAGTGTGATTGTGGCTATAAAGAGGTTAGTGGCAAAGCTTACAGGTTATCCAGAGATTTGTTCTTTCATTATGTTTTGTGTTTTTTTTTTATGGCATCTATAGATATAGATATGATATGTATAAGGGGGAAATTTGAAAAAATATATTTACTATTTTGTCAAATATAAGATAGGGAGATATGGGGCATGCAATAACTGACTCATCCTAAATTTGAAACGTTTAGAGTCTAAACCCTGGGTAAGTGTGACATCAATTTAAAAAACAGATTTTTATCATTTTAGAAACATTAGTAGCAATATCACTTTTAGTACCATACACATCAGTAGCATCAATAATATCATTATCATCTAATCATCCCTTAAATTCCACCAAAGTGGCTACATTGGTTGGCTAAGTTATTAAATGTGTGTTTTCATTTATTTTCTTACCTCCTAATTTTAGTCCTTGCATCTGTAGCAACTTCATTTATGTTAACTTGCTTCCAAAGAATTAGACTAATTATAGTCTTTGGTTCATTGTCATTTATGATAATATACATGATGCAATAATGATACATCCATGGCCCAATTATTCCTAATTTTTCACCCTTTTCTCTGTCCAAAAAGCAAATTCTATCCATATTTTTAATTTAACAGTATCATTTTATAATTTGACCATAGTTTTTATCAGCTTTGAATTTTAGACCATTTAAAAAATATCGCACAATCTTCTGGGACTGTTTTCTTCATCCCCTACGTTACTAAAAATATCCATGTAATTTTGTGTGACGTAGCTCATTTATTCACTTTTTGTGTAATAATCCATTATGTATGGAAATATACAATTACTGATTTTTTTCTATTTATGAGCAGTTGGAGTGTTTGTAGGTTTTTCCCCCCTCCCATTCTGAAGAGTTTTATTATGTCTTGTACTTAACTCTTGATGTACATAAGAGTCTTCTGGCTACATACTTAGATGTAGAATTTCTGGGTTATCAAGTGGGTGGATCATGCCTTAGCAATGGGAAATTTATTTCAAAAATAAATGTGCTAATTAACACATCCAATGACTGTTTACTGTATAACAGGTTGTTTATTTTATACCCGATTTAGCACATGGTATTGCCAGACTCCGTCATTTTTGCCAGTGTATTTGTATAAAATATTATCTCTTTGTGGTTTCAATTAGACTTGCCTTAATTGCTAGTAAAATTGATTGTATCTTCATAGTTTGACTAACCCTATAAGTTTTCTTTGCTGTGAAATGGCTGTTCTTTCCTTTGAAAGGTTTATTTGATTTGTATTTTCATCTATTAAGTATTTTTTCCTTTTTTTTTTTTTTTGGAGTTGGAGTTTCACTCTTGTCACCCAGGCTTGAGTGCAGTGGCGTGATCTCAGCTCACTACAACCTCCTTCTCCCGGGTTCAAGCGATTCTCCTACCTCAGCCTCTGGAGTAGCTGGGATTACAGGTACCTGCCACCACACCCAGCTAATTTTTGTATTTTTAATAGAGACAGGATTTCACCATGTTGGCCAGGCTAGTCTCAAACTTCGGACCTCAGGTTATCCACCTGCCTCAGCCTCTCAAGGTGCTGGGATTACAAACGTGAGTCACCATGCCCCACCCTTTTCCTTTCTATTTATTTATATATTCTTATGCTGATTAATATATGTTAAATGTCTTTCATATTCTTACATTTTCTTCAATATAATTTTTATGTAAACAATTTCACTACTTGAAACATTAACGTGTTTCCATTGAAAACTGCATTATTTCAGCTTCATAATATGTTTTTGTTTGAGTGGTAAAAGTTTTGCTTTCTTTCATGGAAGCTCTTTTTTTTTCCTTCAGTTTTCACTCCATGCTTTCATATGGATATATTTGACTATTGTATTTCAAGACCACTAATATTTCCTTTTATTAAGAGATCCAGTGAATTTTTCATTGCAATATTTGACATCTTTGAAATTTCCATTTGGTTCTTTTTTTAAAGATATCTTCCATTTGTGAAAAGAAAAACTTTAGAGAAATATAGCTGTTTATTGAAGTGCAGTATGATTCATGAATTAAACAGCACTCAGAACCAGGAGAGCTTCATCTTAACAATACTGTGTGGGAGATCTTAAGCCATAATTGGCCATCTAAGCCACACCTTCATTCCTGACCCAAAGAAAACATAAAATAATAAATGACCCATCGTTTTAAGCCTCTAAGTATTTGCCATGCAGCAAATACTTACAGATAACACATAGGACTTAATGTGTGTTGCTCTGTTTTTCTCAAGATATTTGGCATACTTTTTATCATTTTCATTTAGATCTGCAATCAGTTTGTAGTTTATGTGTGTGTGTGTATACACACACATATACACATAAAGATATAAAATTAAACATTCACAATTTATTTGAAGACTGTCCTTTCTTTATTACACTGAATCATAACCTTGATCATCAATCAAGTGAACATTTGTGCATGTTTCTGCTTTTGCTCCTCTTGTACCAATAGTACACTATCTTAATAAATACACATTTCTTTTTTTTATTATACTTTAAGTTCTAGGGTACATGTGCACAACGTGCAGGTTTGTTACATATGTATACATGTGCCATGTTGGTGTGCTGCATCCATTAACTCGTCATTTACATTAGGTATATCTCCTAATGCTATCCCTCCCCTCTCCGCCAACCCCACAACAGGCCCTGGTGTGTGATGTTCACCATTATTCTAAGCAAACTATCGCAAGGACAGAAAACCAAACACCGCATGTTCTCACTCATAGGTGGGAATTGAACAATGAGAACACTTGGACACAGGATAAATACACATTTCTTATTAACTTCTGAGATATTGTATTGTATATTCCTCACACTGTTTTTCTGGTTCATAGTTATCTTGGGTATTTTGGGCCCTTTGAATTTTATTGTAAATTTCTGACTTTTTTTCAATTGGTACCAAAAATAAAGTAGACTCATCTCCTGAAAGATATTGCATCGAATCTTTAGATATATTTGAGGTATACACCTCCATTTATTTATGTCTGATTCTTTTTCCTCAGCATCATTTTGTAGTGGGAGCAAGTTATTATTTCCTGTGGGAGGAAATCTATTTCTGAAGTGTTCATAGTAATAGCTACTGGTTTTTGCCAGGAGGATTACTGAGTTGACAGGTCCAGCAAGCCATATAATTCAGAGGGGTGGCTATAGGCTTGAGCAAAATACATAAGAGTCTTTCTTTTCCTTGACAGTAATGGAGACATCCATATATAACAAGATGTGGCTAAAGGAAACTATATTAGTGTGCAGAACTTTATCTTGGGTAGTGGCTGCCTACCTGTAACATCAACAAATCATGTACAGAGGGACATGGAGAGTGGAACAGTAGGCACTGGAGACTTAGAAAGGTGGGAGGGTGGGAGGAGCGTAAGGGACAAGAAAACACCTTTTGGGTACAAGTACTCTATTTGGGTGATGGGTACACTAAAAGCCCAGACGTGACCAAAACTGCACTTGTACCCCCTAAATCTATAGAAATAAAAAATAAGATCCTTTAAAAAAAAGAGAGAAAGGTCTCAGGTTAAGGTTTTCTTAAGAAAAGTTTCCTTAAGAGGGGCACCCAGTACTTAGGTTAAGAGCAGTTGTGATAGCCTGGAACAAGATGATCACCAAAGCATTGTGAGTTGATAGGGCCAGCCCAAATGTCCCACAGATGAGAGCTGAGAGTTTAATTTTTTCTCCTTCTACTCTTGACTCCCCAGGGTCTAAGGTGTTCATTATCCACCTGCCATAGCTGCTCTTGTTTCATGGCCACATGATCAGATAACCAGTGTCTGTAGCAACCACTTTACCCTTTCTCCTTGCTCATCACACAAAACCAAACCAAATAGCTGGGCTCATCCCTAGGTAGTTTGGCAGTTTGTTTCTTGTATACCTTATGCCATCTTAAAACATCTCCTATCCACTGATGTGTGGGCTAAAGTCTCATCTATGATCTATGAACAAAAGACTGTGAGGTCCACAGAGGAAAGAAAGGATACTTTACTTTAGAGGGAGAAGAAATCCACAGCTTGGGAAATGCCCTTTCTGGGAAAATCAAAAGTGCTTGTTCTGCAGAAGGAAGGGGGAATTGACACATATCTTACAGAGTCAGCCTTACCTGCATATTAAGCAGGGTTGGGGGAAATTACCTGCATATTAAGCAGTCAAGTGCCTGCACAGTGGGTGAAAATATATGTAACATGCATTCAGTGTTCACTTTAGGGTAGGGTTTTAGCATTAAAATAAGGCAGAATTTGGCTTTTTATATCAAAAAGAACCAATCGGACACAAAGATAATCTGTGCATAGTCTCTGTAAACTGCTTAAAACTGGCTTGAGATTTGTGGCTGTTTATCAATAAAGGACCAGTCCTCTGTCCAGTTGGAGTTATGGCAGGACTGCAAGGCACAGGCGTCGGGGGCGTTGGGGGTGTTGACTAGCATTAGCAGCCTGTCAGGGTCAGTTGGGAAATTTTCCAGCTGTAGTTGTTTCAGAAATGCTTTTCAGGGATTTATTTCTGCTTAGTTACTGGAGAGAAAACTTATGGCAATTAATAACACTGGGATATGTGACTGATACTCCATCCTGCTAGTGATGAGATTCTGTTTTTTGCTAAATCTCATTTTAGCCACAGGGAGTCCATTTTGCCTGTCTGTTGGAATATATATTCATTGTTTTCCCTGTTAGTTGAAACCTGCTGTAGGCAGCCTTGATGACCAATTTACACCATGTCCCATATTAGTGCCAGGGTGGCATGGCTACCTGTCCTGAGTGTATCAAGTCCCTTGAAGGGACCCATGTGGCAGAGAGACTTACAGCTAATTGTATAACTTAGGCCAGGCAGGGGAAAAGGGTAGACAGGTCAAAAATATTTTGTTGGAGGTGGGAGAAAACTGCAATCTGGCAGGAAGATTATTAAAATGTTTTACAGAGGCTAAGTAAACAAGCTTGTGGCTGGTACCTTTCAGTGAAATACTTAACAGACTCCAGTTACACAGGGAAGTCATAGGCATTAGGGTTACAGTTAAAACTCTCTATTTATGGGAGATTGTAACACTTGTTTTTAACTAGCACAGCTGTCTTCGTACATATACACATTCCTGCACCAGAACGGCACTGTAGGGATGAGACTGTAGCTAGGTTTATAGGTTTACTTTATCTATCAGTTGAACACCTTATGCTGCCATAATTCTGGTTTTAACAGTAGACTTACAGCAGTTGCATATATATATATACACACAGACATATATATATATATATATACACACACAGACATATATATATATATATACACACACAGACATATATATATATATATATACACACACACACAGACATATATATATATCAAGTAATTTAACTATTAGGAAGAAACTATGATGAAGACTGTGATTACAACAAGCACTTGAATGTCAGCTCAAAAAGAATTTTCCAGTCTGACAGGAAGCCTACTAAATAGATGGAGAGGATCAGTAGTTTGCATATCTCATAACGATTTAGCTTGTTTGGAAATTCTTTTTATGGGAACCTCTACCTTATCTGAGGTGTTGATGTAAGTGTAAGCAGTTACATGGGCTACTGCATAGACTCTTCTCTGTTTGGCTAGGAGACAATTTAAGGCAATTCTATTATTTAGTATTACTTGACCAAGGGAGTCCAGAAACTTTTTGTTGCGCTGTAAGGCTTTCTGCAGTGTCATCAGCTATCTAACCAATGGTAGTGGATAGGTTTTTGAATTATATCTCCAGTAACATAAACCCAAGCACTTAGAAGTAATAGTTCTAGGATGTTTTTACCTATATTATCTTTACATCCTGTTAGCATAGACCTTTTAGTTTTATAATAAAGACAGAACGGGGGTCTTTTCATAAGCAAGCCTGAACCTTTTATGTGTAAGCTGTTGAGGCAATGGTGTGACCATCCCTATCCAGGCAGATCAGACCCTATGTCCCATATAAACACAAAGCCTGGTGAAGGCACAAGCGATGCCCTTAAGGGTGTGTTCACTAATGAATTTATTCATGTTGACAGTATTGAATTGAATCATGAATCATTTGAATAGTAGGGACATACCTTTCTTTACTCAGTTTAGACTATATTTATCTATCCATTAGTTTAAAGATCGAGGAGGTCCACTGGTATAGAATGGGTTTCTAACATCAATAACATGGGACAAATTAAACCAAGAGGTGGTAATATTTGAGTCTTGAGGCAATTGGACTCAGAGACAACAGGGAAAGCAGTTGATCCAGATAAGTGGTGATGTTAAGGATACATGAGAAGTCAGTGACAAGTATTGTCAATGTCACATGTTTACCATGAATGAATGTGGGAAGTTATTGGTGAATCTAACCATCTGATAGGTTTCTATTTGTAACAACACTTCAGGACAGCTTAGCCAAAGTGTTATCATGTCACTCTATGCAGTGAGACAAAGGGACAGTTATAAAGAATAGAGTAAAATTTATTTTGAACTGGACTAATCAACACAACCATTCACAAAGCTCTGGAACAAAGAGTTTAGCCAGACAAAAAGTCTTATAGTTTTGCAAAGGCTTATGGGTGTCTAAGTATTGGAATACACAGAACTATCCCAGCATGGATGGCATAAGATATCCAGGATAGACAAGATTGCTAATGTTATAATAATGGAAACAGTTATAAAGGAATCATAAAGGCTCGGCATGTTAGTTTAGAATAAGTAAGGCAAAGATAAGTGTTCTATTTTACATTGGATAGTAACAATCGTGAAAACTCCTGAAGTGATATGAACAATGACTATTATAAGGTAAATATAAACATTGATTCATCCAGACCATATAGGCTTGGAGTTTTGTGAGAGGGCAGTCTACCTCAGTTGTCATCCTTTTCTTGTCTTGGCATTGAGGCTTTAGTCAACCTGAGCTTAGTGTCAGATATTGATGCTGAAGTCCAGTTCTCAGCAGAGTCTGGTGTTGTTTTTAGGTAAGATATGTGTACCTAGGAGTAATGACCTGTACCTTAGCAGCAAATGGGTTAATTAAGCGTACTTGAAATGGACCTTTCTAGTGGGATTGGAGGGAGTCATTCAGCAATATCTCTTCTAATATATAAAGTCTTTAGGCTGGACATTATGATATTGGGGTTCATCTCCTGATTGATGACTGTAAAGGGATTCACAACCAGCTGTTAGTCTTTAGAGCATTAACAAGTCCTCCAGGACTTGGCAGTAGGTCAGGAGATCGCCTTGTATCTAAGCAGGGGAAAATATTTCTTCGGTTAAATATATGGATTGACCTGTGACCACCTCAAAAGGGGAAAAGCAATTCTGGTGGGGATGGACTTCACAATTACCAAACCCAGAGGAAGAGCTTTGGGCCAGGGCAGATTGAAGCTGCTTGTAATTTTAGCCAATTGAGTTGAATATTCTCTTGGTTCATTCCACAAGCCCAAAAGATTCGGTGTGGTAAACACCGCTGAAATGTCTTAGAATAGGCCAAACATTAGCAACTCATTTTAATACTTGTCCAGTAAAATGAGTTCCCTGATCACTGTGGAACTTGGTGGAAACTCCATAGGTAGAGATAATTTTCTCATGAAGTACTTTGGCTACTGGCATCACTGTGGCTTGTCTTCAGGGGAAAGCTTTCCCCCAGTAAAACTACATATCTATCATGACAAGAACATATTTGTATCACTGAGAAAGGGAAAATTGGATAAAATCAGTAGTCCAGTTTTAGAAAGGCCCTTTTCGCATTGGGACTTTGCCTAGGGTAGCCCTTAAGGACTTCCCTGCATTGTATAAGGGTGAATTTTGCCTAATATATTAGCTTAAGAAGCAATCCCCAACAGCACTGTTTACACCATTGGATCCTTTGGTCAGAACTCTAATGGTGGGGTTATATATAAAAGTAAAAGTGACCCTTGGTAAATTTTCTAGAAGGACTGAATGTCTGTTAGGTTTAGCCCATAGTTGGGATCTGGGATTATAGGTACAGCCTTGTTTTGTCTAATTTTCCTTTTCAAGTTCTGAGCACCTTTTTTGAGATGTTGTTTCAAGAGATTTTTAGAAGAAACAGGATGTAAGGATGGAGCCTGGATTAAGACAGGCATAACAGAAGGGGGGTATTGTTTAAGGCTGCAGACTTAGCTGCACTCTCAGCTAGATGTTTGTCTTTGCTATTTTCGGTATGTCTAAAGGAATTGCCTTGAATTTTAATCATGGCCAGAGTCCTAGGAACTTGAATGGCATCAAGAAATGACAAAATGTGGTCTCTGTTTCTGATGAGCAGTCCAGAAGAGGTTAGAAATCCTCTGTTTCCGGAGAATTCCAAAGTCATGAGCAACCCAAAAAGCGTATCTGCTATCTGTGTAAATGTTTGCAGTTTTATCTTTGGCCAACAGGCAAACTCGGGTAAGAGCATGGAATTCTGCCTGTTGGGCAGAAGGCCTGATTCAATAGTTTCTGTCAGGGAAACAACTGCAAACCTAGCTTAATAGAAGCCAGTAGGGTCTCTGAAAGAAGGCCCATCAATCTACCAGACAAAATCAGGATTGGGTAAGGGCATTTCCTTTAAATTCATATGGGGTGAAAGAAGAGTGTAAAGGTAATGCAGTCATAGAGAATCTTCTGGTGAAGACAAAAGAGGGGCAGAGTTAAGGAGATTACAATGGAAAATAGGTTGGGAAAGAGAAGTATTTCATAGGCAGTCAATCGACTGGCTGAAAGATACTGGATTTGGCGAGAAGTGAGAAGGGCTTTAACTGAGTGAGGAGCATAAACAGTGAGAGGAAATCCCATTACTATTTTCTCGGTGGCTTTTATAAGGACAGTGATTGTGGCAACTGCCTTTAAACATGGTGGTATCCCCGGATAGACACAATCCAGTTTGGCAATCTAGTAACCAATTGGGTAAATTATTACCCCCATGTGGTTCAGTTCAAACTCCCTCTTGCTCATGAACAAAAAGGGGAAAAAGGGAGGTCATAAATAGTGTCCCAAATTGAGGGGTGTATTGGGCAAAGGACAGCTTATCTTTCAGAGACTTAAAGTCCTGTTCACCATCGGTAGTCCAGGTAAGGAGGTCAGGAGAAGAGGCCTTAATCAGGGTATATAAAGGTTGTGCTAGTAAAGAAAAATTAGTGTTCTAAGCTCTGCAATAGTCCATGAGTCCTAGAAAGGCCCTAAGTTTTGTCTTTTCATAGTGGGAATGGGGAAGAAAAATATGCCTTGAAGGCAGAAAGGGTTGATGTTGAGTCCCAAGGGGTCAGCAGATGTCCAAGAGGTTTAATTGTCAGCAACACTGTAGTTTATCTTTAGAATCTTTATGGCCCTTAAGACATAGCTGGTGAAGTAAATGGAGAGTGTCAGTGAGACAGGTATTTCATAAGGGAGAACATAAAAGCAAATCACCAATGTATTGCAGTAGAGTTGAGCTATGTGAGAAGGTTATGTCTTTTTTAAAAAAATTATACTTTAAGTTCTGGGATACATTTACAGAACATGCAGGTTTGTTACATAGGTATACATATGCCATGGTGGTTTGCTGCACCCATCAACCCATCATCTACATTAGGTATTTCTCCTAATGCTATCCCTACCCTAGTCCCCCATCTCCCCAACAGGCCCTGGTGTGTAATATTCCCCTCCCTGTGTCCATGTGTTCTCATTGTTCAACTCCCACTTATGAGTGAGAACATGCAGTGTTTGGTTTTCTGTTCCTGTGTTAGTTTGCTGAGAATGATGGTTTCCAGCTTCATCCATTTCCCTGCAAAGGACATGAACTCCTCCTTTTTTTATGGCTGTTTAGTATTCCATGGGGTATATATGCCACATTTTCTTTATCCAGTCTATCCAGTCTATCTACTGGTGGGCATTTGGGTTGGTTCCAAGTCTTTGCTATTGTGAACAATGCTGCAATAAACATACATATGCATGTGGCTTTATAGTAGAATAATTTATAATCCTTTGGGTATATACCTAGTAATGGGATCTCTGGGTCAAATGGTATTTCTAGTTCTAGATCCTTGAGGAATCGCCACACTGTCTTCCACAATGGTTGAACTAATTTACACTCCCACCAACAGTGTAAAAGCATTCCTATTTCTCCACATCCTCTCCAGCATCTGTTGTTTCCTGACTTTCTAATGATCACCATTCTAACTGGTGTGAGATGGTATCTTAATGTGGTTTTGATTTGCATTTCTCTAATGACCAGTGATGATGAGCTTTTTTTCATATGTTTGGTGGCCGCATAAATGTCTTCTTTTGAGAAATGTCTGTTCGTATCGAGAAGGTTATGTCTTTTAAGTCAGCCTGCAAGATCTGGGAAAAGTAGATAGGGCTTTCAGTGCATCCTTCAGGGTGCACTGTTCAGGTGAACTGATGGCCCTTCCATGTGAAGGCAAAAAGAAATGGACTCTTGAGGTCAACCGGGTTGGTGAAAAAAGTACTATAGTGATCAACAGCGGAAAAATATTGGATGTTAGAATGTATATTGGATAAGAGGGTATGTGGAACAGGCACAACAGGATGCAAGGGAATAAAATGTTATGAATAGCTCTAAGATCCTGGGCAAGTCTCCATCCCTTTCTATTAGCTTAGAAACAGGTAGAAGGGGTATGTTACAGGGACTGGTATAAATGGACTAATAAGTCCCTTGAAAATGAAATTACTGACAATAGGTTGTATACCAGCTAAAGCCTCATGGTGGAGGGGATATTATTTTATGTTCAGTAGAGGTTTGTTAGGATCTATTTGTGTAGAAATGGGTGGTGCTGACTGGATCGGGCTGACATTCGTATTGATTTATTCCCAAAGGGTTTCAAACAGTTACTTTAGAGTTGGATGTCCAGGATCAACTGGATGACTGGAGACTAATAAGGGGAATACATGGCTGAGGTCAGAGGCTGAAGCCTCAGGCAAGGAAACTTTTAAAACAATGTAAAAGAAAAACAAGCTTGGTGTTTTTCAAGAAAGTCCCTTCCTATTAGGTGTATTGTGGCAAAATGGAGAAGTGAAAAGCTGCAATGCCAGTAAGAGGCCCTAGTTGGTAAGAAACTAGTTCAGACTTGAAGATAGTCTTAGATTGGTTAGTGACTCAGCCATTTGAATAGCTTGGTCACTCTGGGTGGTTGGATTTTAAAAGGAGTCAAGGTTAAGCACAGATGCAGTATCTATTAGGGCTTGGACTATTCTGTTGTTAATTTTTAAGATAAACCTCTCCCAATCAACTGACTGAAAGGAGAGGAAAAATCCCCCATGTTTCCCTGAAGTACCCCTAGTTCTGATCAATAAGTATTTCTCTTATTGTTTCTGCAGAAGGGGGTTTCTTTACCTTATTGGTGTCCTTCTGAAGCCCTCATTTATATTTTTTACAGTCTCATTTCAAATGCCAGAAAAAGCAAATTATACCTCTTGCAACTGACGAAACTAATTTCTAACTATTAAATGGAGTTTGCTGATCTGGGAGAGACTTTATGAGTTGTTGAATATGCAAGGCCATGAGTTTATCTGTCTTTCTTGCCATTCTAGTGCCTTGGTGGCTTTAGCCTCTTTTTTCTTTTCTAGGATTTTAGAGAAGCGATTGGCCAAAGAAGCTATATCATAGGGTCTCTTAGAAGGCCAATTGGGATCATATTGCTTAAGCAGGGTGCTAAGGGCTTTAACTTACTTGAGGGAAAGTGAGTTAAAAAAGATTTATAATATCATCAGTTAGATCTTTGATACCAGAATTTTGTAGAAAGCCTTTTGAATCGGCCGGGAGCGGTCACTCACACCTATAATCCCAGCACTTTGGGAGGCCAAGGTGGGTGGATCACCTGAGGTCAGGAGCTTGAGAGCAGCCTGGCCAACATGGTGAAACCCCTTCTCTACTAAAAAATACCAAAAAAGTTAGCCAGGTGTGGTGGTATTCACCTGTAATCCCAGCTACCCAGGAGGCTGAGACTGGAGAACCACTTGAACCCAGGAGGCGGAGGTTGCAGTGAGCCAAGATTGTACCACTCCACTCCAGCCTGGGCAACAGAGCGAGACTCCGTCTCAAAAAAAAACAAAAAAAAAAAAAGAAAAAGAAAAAAGAAAGCCTTTTGAATCAGTCAAAGGAATCAATGACAGATTTGTCTTTTTTCTGAGTCAATGGCATTCCAATTAGTTTGTCAAGGAAAGAGTGCTGAGATGGCTTTAATCAATTCAACAATTGTTTTTCTCACCACTTCAAAGGCTATTTCCTTAGTATGCTGAAAATCATCTTGGGGCTTAGTCCAGTCAGCTAAACACATCCATCCTTGGGTTAAGACATTTTCCACTAAGACTTGAATCAACTAGTGAACATCAGGAGGTCCTGGCTGGTAAACATTTATAATCAAACTAAAGCGGCATTCAAACTCAAGTGAGTCTATTTTAGGATTAGAAAACTCTTTGACTAACGCTAGAAGAAAGCTGAGACTTTGTCCCAGGACAGTAAAAGGTAATTTGCAAGCCTAGTTAGCAATCCCTTTAAAAGGTGTGATCAGAGGGGTTGCAGAATTAGCAACTGGAGGGGGTTGCTCATGAATAGAAGGTGAAGGAAAGAAAGGCAGCTCAGAGAGAAGTGACTGGCAGCATGGGGCTAATGCATATGGGGGTGGCATTGGTGGAGTTCAAGGAGAAAGGCAAGAAGGCACAGTGTCCTTTTTAGTTTTGGATTTAGGGTCCGATTTAGAAGAATTTTCAAATTTTTTAAGATCTTGATTAAGTTTTGATTTAGTCTCTTTTAAAGAGGCAACTAGGGATCCTTGATTTCACTTTGAGCTTTCATTTTAGCAACTGAAAAAGACCTCACACTGCTTTTGAGAGGTTTGGAATCTTCTGTTCTTTATTGCACATGTAGATAAACTGATTGAGGCATGTTAAAAGTTCCCCATTGTGACCAAGAAAGCTTTAAGTCATACCGACTTATTTTTATCCAGGATACCAAATATTAACAAGAATTTTTCCTATAGTTTTTAAACATGTAAACCTCCAGAGTCTCTGACAGCAGTTGGTCCAAAACCATTTCCTTACTGGGTAAGTTACGCACAGTACTCACCTAAAGAAGGTGGCCTTCCCAGTGCAACGTTAGTGCAGGCATCCCTGCTGGACTGCAGGTAGGTCTAGGCCACAGATGAATGGGCAGAACTTTCTTAAAGAAAACATTTCCCTAGATTTCAATCTAAAAGCCTGAACTCTCAGATTCAATAGCACTTACCCAGTTCTTGCCCAGTGTAACCAGGATGCAATTGAACTTAGGAATTTTTCAAGGCAGTGCCAAGAAAGAAATCAGGGGCCACTTTGGATCCCATCCCATGTTGCCAGAACTGTTAACAAAAGACTTTGATATCCATGAAGGAAGAAAAGGAAAAGACATTTTCAGAGGCGGAAGCAATCTGTAGATTGGGGAACATAGCTTCCAGTGAAAGCCAAAAGTTCATTCTCTGCAGAAAGGAAGAGGGAGGTGGTATATATGTCTTTCAGAGTCAACTTTACACACATACTGAGCAAGACTGGGAGAAATCTATGAATATTCATGAGGGCAGTCAGGCGTGTGTACAGTGAGTAAACATTCATGTAACATATGTTCTACATTCACTTCACTTTTAATTATCACTAAAATGAGGTGGAATTTGGCTCTTTATGTCAAAAAGGGACCGTAGGGCACAAAGACAGTTTGTGCGCAGTCTCTATAAGTTGCCTGAAACTGGCTTGAAGTTCCTGAGTGTTTATCAATAAAGAATGTTTATAAGACCAGTTTTCTGTCCAGTTGGAGTTGTGGCAGGACCACAAGGTGCGGGAGAGGGTTATCAGCTGGCATAGAATTAATTATACCAGAATACATGACTACCCCTTCATTTTGCTAGCCATGATATTCTGGTTTCTGGTGTGTCTCATTTTAGCCACAAGGAGTCCCTTGGGGAAGACTGCCAATATGTCTGTTAGGGGATACTTTAAGAACCTGTAAAATCAACACAAGTTATTTACTTAAAAGCACAGCATACACAACCCCATTTTGAAAAGGAGAAATAGACAAGAAGAAATGGGTAACAGGCCTCAAGCAAGTCTGAAACCCAAGAGAGCCAATGATGGACATTCAGACTCCTGAATAATTTCCTTTGATGACATGTCCTGCATCTTCTATAAACAGGTACAGTGGGCTCCAGGGCATTGGGTCACCCCATCCCTATGGTTTGGCTGGGCTCAATCAACCCAACACCACCAGGCTGGCATTGCATGCTGGCTGCTGTATAGTTCTGGGGTCTCTGTGATAGTTCCACTCTCACAGTTCCACTAGGCACTGCTCTGGGGGGACTCTGTGGTGGCTTTGCCCTTGCAACAAGTCTCTGACAGGCCTCCAGGCTTTCAAGGACATCCTTTGAAATCTGAGTGGGAGCTGCCATGCTTCCACAGTTCTTACTTTCTGCAAGCCTGCAAAATTAGCACCATGTGGATTCCACCAAGGTTAATGACTTGTACCATCTGGAGCTGCGATAGAAGCTGTACCTATGGCCGTTGCAGCTGAGGCCGTGGTAGCTGCAGGGCATTGTGCAGCAGGGCCAGGAGCAGCATCCTGAGGTGGAATTGGTCAGTGAGCTCATGGAGAGTGCCCTGGGCTTGTCCTCTGAAGCCATTCAGCCCTCCTAGGCGTCTGGGCCTCGAAGGTATCTGAAATGCCTTTGGGGCCTTTCTTTCATTGCTTGAGGAATAGCACTTGGCTTTTGTATTAGTCCATTCTCTCAATGCTATAAAGAAATACTTGGTACTGGGTAACTTATAAAAAAAGAAAAAAGGTTTAATTGGTTTATTGTTCTGCTGGCTCTACAAGAAGCATGGCTGGGGGAGGCCTCAGGAAACTTACAATCATGTCAGAAGGTGAAGGGGAAGTAGGCGTATTTCACATGGCCAGAGCAGGAGGATGAGAGAGAAGGAAGAGGTGATACACACTTTTAAACAACCAAATCTTGTGAGAACTTTATCATGAGAACAGCTCCACAGTGGGATGGTGTTAAACCATGAGAAGCTACCCCTATGATTCAGCCACCTCCCACTAGACCCCACCTCCAACATTGGGGATTACAATTGACATTGTAGGGAGAATTGGGCAGGAACACCGATCCTGACCATATCCGCTTTCTTCTATCTTTGTTAATCTCTTAAGCAAAGGTGTCCCTGTGCTACATCCTTGGTTTTCTCTCCTGTGAATGCGCTTTCCTTCCTTACTATATTGCAAACTATGAGTTTTTCAAGTTGTTCTGCTCTATTCCTCTTTTCTCTAGCAGTTTACAATAAGAAATTAGAAGCAACCACACAACATTCTGAGAACTTTGCTATGTAAAATTTCTTCTGCCAGATATCCTAGTTCATCATTCTTAAGTTTGGCCTTCCACAAACCCCTCAGGCATGGTCACAGTTCAGCCAAGTTCTTGGCCAGTTTATAGCAAGGATGGCCCTTGCTTCTAAAACCTTATTCCTCAGTTTCATCTTAACCTCATGAGAATGACCTTTGCTATCTATATTTCTATCAACATTCTGGTCATGAGCATTTATCTAATCTCTAAGAAGTTTAAAACTTTCCCTCATCTTCTTGTCTTTTAATCCCTAACAAGAATCTGTGCTTTTTATTCATATTTATTTATTGATATACAGTCTTGCTCTGTCACCCAAGCTGGAGTGTAGCAGCCTGATCTCAGTTCATTGCAACCTCCACCCCGACTGACTCAAGCGATCCTCCCACCTCAGCCTCCCAAATAGCTGGAACCAAAGGCACACACCACCATGCTCGGCTAATTTTTGGTATTTTGGGTATAGAAAGGGTCTCGCCACATTGCCCAGGCTGGTTTCAAACTCCTGAGCTTAAGCAATCTGCCCACCTTTGCTTCTCAAAGCGCTGGGATCACAGGTGAGCCACTGCACCTGGCCAAATGTAGGCTTTTTCTATCTTGCTCCTCCAAACTCTTCCAGCCACTCCCCTTGAGAGGACTTGATGATATGGAAAAGTACTTATGGTATAGTAAGTAAAAAAATATAAAAACTTGCATGCATGTTTTTATAAACAAAAATAATTTTTTTAAAAAATTGCACTAAATTTTTAATAGATCAATTTCTTTAGAATGAAATTGTGAATATTTTCATTGTCATCTTTTTTTTTCTTATAGGGAAAGTACATTAAGTTTAAATGAAGTGGTGTAAAAATACAGAATCCAAAAGTCATGGTGTGATTAGAATCAAGTTGGAGAGATACTTTATTTCGAAAATAAATAAAACTATTTATTTGACTAAAATCTGATGTAAAACATTTAAATCTAATGTATTTGCTTTTAGGCATGCACTCATAAAAAATGCTGTAATCCTGCAGATTGTACTCTAGTTAGATCTGCAGAATGTGGCACTGGATCATGCTGTAACAATAAAACTTGTACGGTAAGTTTTATTACCTATTTCTTTTTCTTTCTTTCTTTTTTTTTTTCCTGAGAAGGACTTTCACTCTTGTTGCCCAGGCTGGAGTGCAGTGGTGCAGTCTCAGCTCACTGCAACCTCCACCTCCCAGGTTCAAGTGATTCTCTTGCCTCAGCCTCCCAAGTAGCTGGGATTACAGGAGCATGCTACCACACCCAGAAAATTTTTGTATTTTTAGTATAGATGGGGTTTCACCATGTTGGCCAGGCTGATCTTGAACTCCTGACCTCAGGTGATCCGCCTGCCTCAGCCTCCCAAAGTGCTGGGATTACAGGCGTGAGCCACCACACCTGGCCTTTATTACCTATTTCTAATGAGTGCTTAGATATTCCTACCGGTAATTTTTAAATAAAAACATTAATACTGATTATGTATTGATCAGTTGTAACTGGATGAAGAATGTCCAAGCGAAGAAAAATAAACACAAACTTAGGTTAAAATTGAAGATAGGTCTGGCTTCATGCTCTAGTGAGTGTTTGTTTCAAACAGGATTTTTATTCTATGCATCTCTTGGATATCCTTGCTTTTAAGCTGACAATTCTCAAACAAGCATTCTCAATATGCAGTATAGATAGGCCATTGGAGCTCCTTGTTTGATTTAGTCCATTTCAATTCTTGGTAATGGAGGCAAACTGGATTGAGCCTGAAAAATAAATGTATTTTTTTTTCTTTCTCTCACAGATCCACGAAAGAGGCCATGTCTGCAGAAAAAGTGTAGATATGTGTGATTTTCCAGAATATTGCAATGGAACATCTGAGTTTTGTGTACCTGATGTGAAAGCTGCTGATTTAGAATACTGCAGTAATAAGACTAGCTATTGCTTTAAAGGAGTATGCAGAGAAAGGGATAGACAGTGTTCACAGTTATTTGGAAAATGTAATTGTTTTACCTTTTTTTTTTGAGGTTTATATTTAAACTGTAGCTATTCTAAAGTCAGTAACCCACCCAAGAGCCATCCCTGAAAGTGTTGTTTTACATTCAAATTTAGAAATAAAATTGCAAATCAAAGCAACTTTGAATGATGTCAAGAGTTATAATAGACCTAATAACTACAGGATGCAACAGTAGGACATTAGTCCAACTTAAGGTGGTTGTTGCAAAGGGAGTAGACTATTAGAATAGTAGATAAGAGAGCAGGTGACTGATTTCTTAATTATTTCTACACTATAACATGAATTTTTCTCTTCTCATGTGTGTAGTTTTCAGTAAGTGCTTCTCCTTGTAAAGCCAGTAGATGACATCAAAAATTTATAGCAGATTACACTGACTGGGCCTTGTTGTTGTCTAGATATCTTTCTATTGACTTACCACACTTTTACCATTTAATATTTTAATATAAGTAACTATGACTTCTTATGTTTTCAGTTGCTAAGTCTGCTAATCTTCTGTGTACAGAAGAAGTGAATTTTCAAAATGACAAATTTGGAAACTGTGGTTCCCGTTGTGATTTTTTGTACGTATTTAGAAAAGTATACATCTTCCAAGTGCGTGCGTTGTGTTTTGTGTATGTACTGCAAAGAGTGACTTGAAATAAATGAGAGACAGTATCTAGTATATACAGATAGACTTATTTGTTGCATTTAATATGGCATTGTGTGCTGTGAAAAGCTTTGCTGTTATGATCTGAGTAATATTTTGAATTATCCTCACTTTTGAATTGTTATTAACCTAATTGTGTACCTAAGTGACAAATGGGTAACTTTTTTCTGTCTTATGTTGCTAGTGATATCCTTTGTGGAAAGATTGTTTGTCACTGGATACATTCAGAACTAGTACCAATGACAGACTTAGACATACAATATACTTACCTTAGAGGTCACGTATGTTTGTCCGCACATGCAAGAAATGGTTCAAAACAATCGGAGACCTATACAGAAGATATAACTGCATGTGGCCAACACAAGGTAAATAAAATTTTTATTGATACGATATATGGTGGATTTGTCTGTGAGTGTCTGAAGTGTGTGTATCAGAGAGAGAGAGAGAGATTGAGAGGATGATTAAATTTTCATTTATAATGAATGCTACAAATTTTGGTTACAATATCATGATCTTAAGATACACTGATCAGAATTTCGGCTGGTTAAAGAAATTCTTGTTTTACTATCTGTTATTTTTATTAAACTTTTACTACTGATATTTAAACTTGTTTCGTCTTGCTTGAGAATCTAAGACTCCCTGTTAGGCCAGGATCTGATCTGTGATGATTTGTGTAAACCAAGAACAAAAAAGAATAAAATGATGCAAAAAAAAAATGTCAGAACAACCTGAATAACAAGAACTTTAAAGAAAACAAAACCCAAAAAAGACAAATATTTAGTCTTGTAGTGATTGACAAAAAATTATTTTGGTTACAATTGAAGTAAAGCAATTATTTTCTCATTAACCTGCTCTCCTACTACTTCTTCCATAAGCATATTTTGTCTAAAATGTGGCCTTCACATAAAACATGACAATAAAACATAGTGTTTAAGTTTTTTTAATTTTTATCTTTCTTAAGAATTTTGAGATACCTAATAAAGGCTTTTCAAACTAGTAACACTGAAAAATAAGTTGACTAATTAAAAAGTATACAATTACCACACATTTTTATAAAAATAATTTACATATAGAAATATATTTTTAAAATAAAAAGATAAATTTAAGTGAAAAGTATACTTATCTCAGAATGGGAAAAGATATTCACACATAAAAGTAATGAATTAATCAAAGGAACATACTGATGCTGACTATATTGTAAAGTAATACGTCATTCCTCCAAAGACCATTTAAAACAAACTGAAAAAATATTTACTATAAATACAGAAGTATAAATACTTAAATATATTAACTAATTTTATCTTTTATATATAAAAGATATACTAATTTTATCTTTTTTATATATATAATATATATAGCATAACACAGAACATATTTGGTCTCTGCCTCTGATTCTTGGCACACAGCTTCTAATAAAACCCTTGGAATTTCCTAAGTGATGGGAGTGTTTTTTGTTCTTGAGAATGAATAAACACCTTTCAGTCACACCTGAAATTGTGCTTATTTCCATCAGGCGATTTAGGGTGGGACCCCTTGCTGGCCTTATAACAGGGCTGGTTATCAGGATGACCAAGTGATTAGAGGGTTGGAACTTTCAGCCTGACTCACTGGACTTTTGGAAGAAGAGAGGCAGGGCTGGAAATTGATCTCTATTAAAACCCTCAAACAAAGAGATTCAATGATCTTCTGGGTTAATAAACATATCAATTTGCTGGGAGGGTGGTGCAGCTGGAGAAAGCATGGAAATTCTTCTCCTCTCCTCCAATACCTTGCCATAAATGTATCATCCATGTAGCTGTTCTTGAGTTGTATCTTATGTAACAAACCATTAAATACAAGTAAAGTATTTTCCTGAGTTCTGTGAGCCATTCTAACATTGTTACCCTGTGGAGGGTGTCATGAGAACCCCTAATTTATATCTGGTCTGTCAGAAGTATGGTTTACCTGATACTTGCACCTGATATGGGGCCAGTCTTGAGGGACGAAGCCCCTTAGCTTGTGAGATTTAATGTGTCTTAGTCAGTTGTTGTGTTGCTATGAAGGAATACTAACGCTAGGTGACTTATAAAGGAAATAGGTTTATTTGGCTCACAGTTCTGCAGACTGAACAAGAAGCATAGTGCCAGGATCTGCTTCTGGTGAGGGCTTCACGCTGCTTCCTCTTGGTGGAAAGAGAAGAGGAACTGGTATGTGCAGAGATCACACGGTGAGAGAAGAAGCAAGAGACAGAGGAGGAAAGTTCTAGACTCCTTGAAAAAAACAAACAAACAAAAAAACCAGCTCTCATGAGAACTAACAGAGTGAGAAGAGAGGTCCGTCATTACTAAACAGAGATTAAACAAACAAAACAAACCCAATGGATCAACAGGACAAAAGGTTTGTTCCTCAAAAAGATAAAATTGATACACTACTGAACCACGGTATTTCCCCAACTCTTTCGTTGGACTCACGACAGGGATGCCCTGTTTACTTAGCTTGTTGCGCTCAACTCCTCGCGGGAGGGAGCACAGGAGCAAACGGGGCGGGAACTGGAGTATACGAGCACAGAAACCAGCCAGCCACTGCGGTGCTGGCAGGAGTGAGCTTCACTCGCTGGGACCTGCTGCATTCCACCCCTCGCAGGAGGGAGCGTGCAGGTGAGCGGGTAAAGGAGCCGGAGCAAGTGCTTTTGGGTGCTGGCAGAAACAAACTCCCTGCGGGCCCCACAGCAGCATCTAAGGGGGGTGCCTGCGACCCCTGAAGCTCCAGAGGACATGTTTCAGTGCTCTTTTAGCTCTGCAGTCTGCAGATGGCTTAAGTGTTAACAGCTCAGTGGGCCCGCAGCTGTCCTCTGCCAGCGAGGGCAAAGGGCCAGTGTGGCAGCCTTTTGTATCCACACTCGTGGCTCCTGAGCTCTTGTCTGGCATCCAGAAAAGAATGAGGTCGCTCAAACGAATTGAAGGATGGTAAATGCGAGAGATTTTATTGCCAGGGAAAGTGGCTCTCAGTGGAAAGGGGAGCTGGAAAGGGGACGAGCAGATAATCTTCCCCTCAAGTCCGGCCATCTCCAGCTGGACTCTCCTCCAAGTTACACTGTCAAGCTGTCCCTCTGAAGTCAAGCCACTTCTCTCCAATGTCCGGCTGTAGTCCCCAGTATCCAGCTGCTTCTCCTCTCTGCCGGCTGAGTCTGGGGGTCTTCATAGGCAAAGGTTGAGGGGGTGGGGTGGGCCATGGATGTTTAGGGAAAGGCAGCATTCGAGCGGGAAAACAGGGTTATGAGTTCTCACTTTGGGCTGCGGTCTCAGGCTTTTCGGCTTGATGGTGGGGCTTTGCCAGGGACCCACCCTCTTCTGCCTAGGATTTCTCTGGCCCCTGTCACTATCACTACCAGCTAGACTAAACAAGAAGAAAAGATAGAAGATCTAAACAAACAAAATGAGAAATAAAAAAGCAGGCATTATAACTCACCACAGAAATACAAAAGATTATTAGAGACTATTATGAACAACTTTATGCTCACAAGCTAGAAAACCTAGAGGAAATAGATAAATTCCTGAAAACATAAAACCTACCAAGATTGAACCAGGAAGAAATACAACTCCCAAGGAGACCAATAATGACTAGTGAGATTGAATCAGTAGTAAAAATTATCCCAACAACAACAAAAAAGGCTAGGACCATGTGGATTCACTGCCCAATTCTACCTCCGGAATAGAATAACTAATAATTAGACTAACTAATAAATAGAATAACTAATAATTAGAATAATACCAATCTTTTTGAAACAATTGTTAAAAATCAAGGAGGAGGAAATTCTCTCTAACTCATTCTACAAGGCGAGTATCATCTGATACCAAAGCCAAACAACGGCATAAAAAAAAGTAAAGACCAATATCTCTGGAAGACACAGACGCAAAAGTCCTCAAGAAAATCCTAGCAAATCAAATCCAACAGCACATCAAAAACATAATACATCGTGATTATGTGGGATTCATCCCAGGGATCCAAAGATGGTTCAACACATGCAAATCAAAAATTTGATCCATCACATCAACAGAATGAAAGATAAAAACCATATGATAATCTCAACTGATGCAGAGAAATCATTGGATAAATTTCAGCATCTCTTCGGATAAAAATTCGCAATAAACTCAGCATACAAGGAACATTCTTCAACATCATAAAGGCAATCTACAACAACCATACAGCCAACATACAGCCAACATTATACTTAACAAGGAAAAATTGAAAGCATTTCCTGTAAGAACTAAAGCAAGGCAAGGATGCCCACTTTTACCACTCTTACTTAGCATAGTACTGGAAGTCCTCACCATAACAATAAGGCAAGAGAAAATAATAAAGTCATCCAGACTGGAAAAGAGGAAGTCAAATTATTCCTGATGATTGAGTTTTTGTCTAGAAAACCCTAATGACTCCACCAAAAAAACTCTTAGATTTGATAAATAAGTTTAATAAAGTTTCATGATACAAAATTAATAGACAGATACTAGTAGTGTTTCTATATACCAATAATGATCTAGCCAAGGACAAAATCAAGAAGACAGTCTCATTTACAATAGCTACCAAAAAATAAAATTAAATAGCTAGGAATATATTTAACCAAGGAGGAGAAGGATCTCTACAAGAACTACAAAACACTGAATTAAATAAATAAAATAAATTATAGATGATGCAAACAAATGGGAAAACATCCTGTGCTCATGGATTGGGAGAATCAATATCATCAAAATGACCATACTTCTCAAAACAATCTACAGATTCAATGCAATCCTTATCAAAATACCAATGTCATTTTTCACAGAAATAAGAAAATGTGAAATTTATATGACACGAAAACAGCTTGATTAGTCAAAGTAATCCTAACCAAAAAGAACAATGCTGGAAGCATCACATTACTTAGCTTTAAGTTACACTACAATCCAATGGTAACCAAAACAGCAAGATATAATTATAAAAATAGACACATAGATCAATGGAACAGAAAAGAGATCCCAGAAATCCACATATTTACATCAAACTGATCTTCAATAAAGCCAGCAAGAACATACATTGGAGAAAGGACCATCTTCGAAAAGGTGCTGGGAAAACTGGGTAGCATATGCAGAAGAATGACACTGGACCCATACCTCTCAGTATATACAAAAACTAACTCAAGGTGGATTAAAGACCTAAATATAAGATATGAAACTATAACCCTAGAAGAAAACCTACAAAAAACTCTTTTGGACATTGGCCCAGGCAAAGAATACGTGACCAAGTCCTCAAAAGCAAACACTATGAAAACAAAAGTAGATAAATGGGACTTAATTAAACTAAAAAGCTTCTGCACAGCAAAGGAAACAACAGAGTAAACAGATAATCTACAGAATGGGAAAAATATTTGCAAATTATAAATCCAACAAAGGACTAATATCCGAATCTGCAAGGAACTCAAACAACACAACAGCGACAAAAATAACCAAGTAACCCCACTAACAAGTGAGCAAAGGACATGAACAGACACTTCTCAAAATAAGACATACAAGCGGCCAAAAAACATAGGAAAAATGCCCAACATCACCAACTATCAGAGTAAAACCTTAACGAGATACCGTCTTACACAAGTCAGAATGTCTATTATTAAAAAGTCAAAAAACAATAGATGTCAAGAATGTGGAGAAAAAGGAAAGTTTATACACTGATGTTGGGAATGTAAATTAGTACAACCTCTTTGAGAAACAGTATGGAGATTTCTCAAAGTACTACCCACCATTTGACACAGCCACCCTACTACTCAAATACAAAATGAGCCCAAAAATATCTCCTTCTAAGGGTCTATATGAGTAAATAAAAGAAAGGTGCATAAAAAGTGTTAAAAGAGGTCCTATAAATTAAAAATTGCTAGTACAAGCTGGCTACTTTTTTCTTGTACCAGTGTGTAATAAAAATGTATATTTCTGCTTTCTGAAAATATCTCATTTGTAATATTTCTTATTAATAACATACCATTTAGAATTGTTCCTATGGGTTTTTATTAAAATGCTATGAAATTCAGATTCATCTGTTCTGTATATCTCCTGTGCATATAATATTTGTATGAATATGATTCCTTATCTCTTGACTTTACATTTAGTATTTTTGTTGCTGTTTGCTTCATAACATTTTAGGTATGTCACTCCCGAGAATGCAGAAATTTTAGTGAACTAAATATAACAAAATATACTACAAATTGTGGACAGAATGGGGTATGTAACAGTTACTATTTTTCTCAGTATAATTATTTTAATCTATGTCAATAACATGTTCTATGATAATAATAAAGTTCACAAGTAGTAGATGTGAAAATTTCTTTTTGAAAATTGTCATTAAATAAGGAAAGTAGATCCACTATTTATACATACATATTATTTATGCATATAATCAGATTGTTATGGGCTTCATGAGCAAATAAGTTTTACACTTTGTAAAAAATGCACCATGAAACAGAATCCATTATTATGATATTAGATTAAGATTATTAAATTTTAGAAATGGATTTATTAAGGACTCTACTTATGCTTTTATGCATATACATACATATTGTTTATAATTGAGCGTATGTGTACTTATACAATATGAACATTCACACACTGTTATGTACATTGATTTATGAGATCAGAGTTTTCAATCCATTAAGATCTGTTTCATTCCTCAACAGCTTCAACTTATTTCACTATATGGATCATCCATACTATATTCAAAATGCCATTCACTGATGGCCTTTCAATTAATGTTAAATTTTAGCTTATTACAAATAGTGGTACAACAGATATGATTGTAAATTTACCTTTGCACATTGATATGCTTCCTTAAATTATTAGCAAATAAAATTTGGGCTGAATATATGCACAATTTGAATTTTCCTAAGTATTATGCTGTCGTCAAGAAACATTATACCAGTTTTTTCTCCCACCTATCATGTGTGAAAATGTGCATTTCCTCATATTCTGGCCAGATTAGTTGTATTAATCTTTTTAGTCTCTTTTAACATGCTAAGTCCATTATTAATTTGCATTTATTTGCTAATTAATAATACAGTTCCTAAGTATATATGGTCATATCTGCCACTTGCATTTCTGTTTGCTCATCTATTGTAAACTTATCTACTGGCTTATAGAAATGTTGTAAACTTTATAAGTCATTCTAAGCATGCATTTGTCTCTTTGTGGTCAGTGTCTTCTGCCATATTGATGATTCATATTTTTTATAGTAATTCAGGAAAAAGTGGCCTGCCTGTGTGGCTTACATCAATTTTTCCTCAAAATTACTTACACATCTATTATTTACAGTTTCTTTTCTTTCTTAATTTTAATTTACTTTCGTAATCAATTTTGTATGCATTTATTTCTGAATTCTCTACTGGCCCTTTTTCCATTCGTCTGCCAGATCACATTTATACATTTTTTCTAGCTTTCTATATAAATTTTTTGTGTCTGTATCTGATTGAGCAAGCATCTTAAAATTTTGGCTTTCCCCCCCTATTTTTTTAAATAAAATTTGGCCCTCATCACAACTATTTTTTTAAATCCAACACAATTTATAATAAATTTTTACTCCCACCATTCTATAGTTTCTAGCATCATAATCTGTACGCCCTTCTAATAAAAAGCATTTAAATTGTATCAAGAATGGTATTCACTTTATTTAGAAATGTAAGAGACAAACAAGAAGATACCTCTATGATGTTTGAAAATATATTGCATGGACATTTATTATACTGCCTTTTATTTTTAAAATTATTTTTCATATTAAATTTAAAATTTATATTAAATGGTAATATTTTTAAAATTTACATTGACTAACAATCACATATAAGGCAGTGAATTTTTGGTTGTACATAAATGCTTTTTTTGTTTGTTTTGGTTTTAGATTTGCAATGAACATTTCCATTGTCAATGTGATCCTGGTTATGCTCCTCCAGATTGTGAGCCAGCAATGTCATCACCAGGAGGAAGTATCAATGATGGATTTTGGCTTACAGTAGGTTAGTCTCTAGATCTGTGTTTCAATGCAGCTTTCTGTTCTCATAGAAATGGTCTACATCTTTGCCATCCTGTATAACTATCAAACACCCAACATGTGGATAGTGAAACTAAGGAACTGAAATTTCAACTGTATTTTACCTTATTTAATTTAAATTTAAATGACTACTGTGACTAGTGGCTACTAAATTGGATCTAGAGCCAGACAGCTCTGAATCTTTCTGCCAACCAAAATTTTCTGTATAGTTTTAGTTCTCACCTAGAAAACATTTTAAAAGGCCTCCCCTTCACTTTAAGCAGGGTTCCCAGAATATTTCTATTTATACAGCAGAGTTTTCTATGTAAGTATACTTAAATTATAGAAAACGTTGCAGTTTTATTATATAGTCTGTGAATTCCAAGGATGTCACCTATTGTGATATCCCAATTCACAATCAAATTCAATCTTTAAAGGTAACTGTAATATTGAAAGAGAAAAATCATTAAATTTTTCATGCCTACAGCATATGAGTAGTCTGTGGCACTGAACATTTTTAAATTGATTTGATGAAAAGTCCTGAATAAATATATTTGTTTTTACTAAACCTTTATTTTACTATTAGAATTGTATACCTGAATAAATGCTTGAGGAATGGATTCATATGTCAAATATGCTGAAGTGGCATATAACTAGATGTATGAATATCTTAATATGGCAACTTAGAGCAAAGGAGTTAAAGACACTGAAGATCAAGAAAAAATATATGCCAAGAGGTTGTTAGAATGAGTTTCCTTCTTCCCACAACTTAGAATTTGGGGTACTTTATTAGTAGATGATACTGAAGAAAGTAGTTTCAGTTAATTTAGGATGAAAAAAGTAGTTGAAATAAATATATACATAAGTAAATTAAAAGAAGAATAAATCAACCTACACTCATCCTTCACCAATGTTAAAATGTTGCAAATCTGTCCTACAATGTCAAAACTGGGAAATGGACATTGGTAAAATACAGAGACCTTAATCAGATTTCTCTAGTATATTTACACTCATTTGTGTGTCTGTGTGTTTGTGTGTGTGTTTGTTCTATGCAATTTTATCACAGTTTAGATTTATGTACTACTATCACAATGACAATGCATAGCTGTATCATCACTACATGGTTGTCTAACATTACCCCTTTGTAGATAGATATTTTTCTTTTCCCTCATCTCTAACTCTCCTTCCAACCATTAAATGGTTCTCTGTCTCTCTAATTACATGGTTTTATGAATGTTATATAAACAAAATCATATGGTTTTTATATTTGTGCAACTGGATTTTTTTCTTTAGCATAATTTCCCTGAACTGGATCCAAGTTCTTGCATGTACCAATACTTAATTCCTTTTTATTGATGACTAGTTTTCATTTGTATGGATATGCCATAATTTTTTAGCCTTTGATCCACTGAAGGACATTTGGGTGGTTTCCAGTTTTAGTTATTATGAATAACTGAGATGAACATTCATGTGGAAGATTCTATGTGAAAATAATATTTTAATTGTCTGGGATATATGCACAAGACTGAAATAGCTGAGACATATTGTAAACTACTTATAATTTTAAAAGCAACTGCTAAATATTTTTTCAGAATGGCTGTACTGTTTGACAGTCCCACCAACAATATATGAATTACCACGTTTTTGCACCCTCACCAACATCTGATTGTACCACTGTTTTTTCTTGAATTTTAATCATTCCATTAGCTGTTTATTAATATCTCATTTGCACCTCCTCACGGATAATGATTTTGAACATCCTTAATATGCTTATTCGGTTGTATATTCTATTTAGTGAAAAGTCTGTTCATACATTTTACCATTTACTCATTGGATTGTTTGTGTTTTTTAAATGTTCAGTTTTGAGAGATATTATGTTTTTTAATTTTTATTTTTCATTATTATGGGTACATAATAGTTGTATATGTTCATGGGGTACATGTGCTGTTTTGTTAGACATGCAATGTGTAATGATCAGATCATGGTAATTGGGGTATCCATCATCTCAAGCCTTTATTATTTATTTGTATTAGAAACATTCTAATCACACTCTTTCCGTTATTTTAAAATACACAATAAATCAATGTTAACTATAGTCTCTCTATTGTGCTACTGAACACCAGACCTTATTACTTCTGACTGTATTTTTGTAACCTTAACCATTCCCTTTTTATCCCCCCATCCCCACTACCCTTCCCAGGCTCTGGCAACCATGATTCCACTCTCTATGAGTTCAATTTTTTTGTTGTTTTTAGCTCCCACATATGAATTAAAACAGACAGGCACCATCTGTCTTTCTGTGCCTGGCTTATTTCACTTAACATAATAGCCTCCATTCCATTCATGTTGTTGCAAATGACAGGATTTTATCCTTTTTATGGCTGAATAGCAGTCGGTTGTGTATATGTACCACATTTTTTTATCCATTCATCCACTGATGGACACTTAGGTTGATTCCAAATCTTGGCTACTGTGAATAATGCTGCTTTAAATAAACACAGGAGAGCAGATATCTCTTCGATACACTGATTTCCTTTCTTTTAGATATATACTCAGCAGTGGGATTGCTGGATCTTGTGGTAATTCTATTTTAGTTTTTTTGAGGAATCTCCATACTGTTCTCTATAGTGGCTGTACTAATTTACATTCCCACCAACAGTGTGTACCAAGTGCTCCCCTTTCTCGACATTCTCACATTATTGCCTATCTTTTGGATAAAAGCCATTTTAACAGGGATAAGATAATATTTCATTGTAGTTTTTAGTTGCATTTCTCTGATGATCAGTGATGTTGAGTCCCTTTTCATATAGCTGTTTGCCGTTCGTATGTCTTCTTTTGAGAAATGTCTAAAAGATCTTTTGCCCATTTTAAAATTAATTTTTTATTGAGTTGTTTGAGCTCCTTACATATTCTGGTTATTAATCCCTTGTCAGATGGGTAGTTTGCAAATATTTTCTTTGGTTCTGTAGGTTGTCCCTTCACTTGGTTGATTGTTTCCTTTTCTATGTAGAAGCTTCTTAGCTTGATGTGATCCTATTTGTCAATTTTTGCTGTGATTGCCTGAGCTTCTGAGGTCTTACTCAAGAAATCTGTGCCCAAATCAATGTCCTGGAGAGGTTACCCAGTGTTTTGTTCTAGTTGTTTTACAGTTTAGGGTCTTAGATTTAAGTCTTTAATCCATTTTTATTTGATTTTTGTATATGGCAAGAGATAGGGATCTAGCATCATTCTTCTGCATATGGCTATCTACTTTTCCCAGCACTATTTATTGAAGGGACTGTTCTTTCCCCAGTGTATGTTCTTGACACCTTTATTGAAAATAAATTGACTTTAATTACGTGGATTCATTTGTGGGTTCTTTATTCTGTTCAATTTTTCTGTGTATCCGTTTTATTCCAGCATCATGCTATTTTGGTTACTATAGCTTTGTGTAGTATAAGGTCAGGTAACATGATTCCTCCAGTTTTGTTCTTTTTGCTCAGGATTACTTTGACTATTCTGGGTCTTTCGTCATTCCATATGCGTTTTAGGATTATTTTTTCTATTTCTGTGAACAATTGCATTGAAGCTGTAAATTGCTTTGTGTGGTACAGGTATTTTAACATTATAGAACTGATAAATTCAGTAAAGATGCAGAATACAAAATGCCAACAGTGAACAATCTGAAAAACAAATGAAGAAAGCAATTCCATTTACAATAGCTACAAATAAGATGAACTACCTAGGAATAAACTAAAAGAAGTGAAAGATCTCTACAATAAAAATTATTAAACACTGATGAAAGAAATTGAAAAGGGAAAAAGAAAAAAATGCCATGTTTATGAAAGATGTTATGTTTTACAAATACATGTATTTTGTTGGATGTGTGATTTGTACACATTTTCTCCAAGTCTATAATTTGTTTTTTCTCAGAATAAAATTTCTCTTTATATGACTTTTACTTGATAAGGTGCACTTTTTTAGGTACTGGATTGTGCTTCTGGTGTCAAGTATATGACCTCTTTATGAGTATTAGAACCTGAAGATTTAAAAAGTATAGCATTATGGTTTCCATTTAAGCCCATAATACACTTTAAAGTAATTTTATATAGGATGAGAGATATATATCAAAGTTAAATTTTTGATAAATGGGTGTTCAATTACTCTAGCATATTTTTTAAAATTTTTTATTTCCATAGCTTTTTGGGGAAACGTGGTATTTGGTTACGTGAGTAAGTTTTTCAGTGGTGATTTGTAAGATTTTGGTGCACCCATCACCTGAGCAGTATACACTGAACCCAATTTGTAGTCTTTTATTCCTCACCCCCTTCCCATCCTTTTCCCCTGAGTCCCCAAAGTCCATTGCATTTTTCTTATGCCTTTGCATCCTCGTAGTTTAGCTCCCATTTATGAGTGAGAACAGACGATGTTTGGTTTTCCATCCTTGAGTTACTTCACTTAGAATAATAGTCTCCAATCCCATCCAGGTTGCTGCAAATGCCATTAATTCATTCCTTTTAATGGCTGAGCAGTGTTTCATCATAAATATATATGTCATCACACAGTTTCTTTATCTCACAGTTTCTTTATCTCACAGTTTCTTTATCCACTCATTGATTGATGGGCATTGGGATTTGTTCCACATTTTTGCAATTCCAAGTTGTGCCGTTATAAACATGTGTGTGCAAGTATCTTTTTCATATAATGAGTTCTTTTTAATGTACACAGATCAGTAGCTCTCCTTTACACCAACAGCAACCAAGATGAGAATAAAATCAAGAACTCAAGTCCTTTACAAACCTGCAAAAAATAAAATAAAATACTTAGGAATATACCTAACCAAGGAGTTCAAGGAAAACTACAAAACACTGCTGAAAGAGATCATAGAGGACACAAACAAATGGAAATACATCCCATGCTCATGGATGGGTAGAATCAATATTGTCAAAATGACCATACTGCCAAAAGCAATCTACAAATTCAACGCAATTTCCCTCAAAATACCACCATCATTCTTCACCGAAAATAATCCTAAAGTTCATATGGAACCAAAAGAGAGCCTGCATAGCCAAAGCAAGACTAAGCAAAAAGAACAAATCTGGAGGCATCACATTACCTGATTTCAAGCTATACTATAAGGCCATAGTCACTGAAATAACATGGTACTAGTATAAAAATAGACACATAGACCAGTGAAACAGAATAGAGAACCCAGAAATAAACCCAAATACCTACAGCCAACTGGTCTTCGACAAAGCAAACAAAAACATAAAGTGGGGAGAGGACACCCTGCTCAACAAATGGTGCTGGGATAATTGGCAAGCCACATGGTAGGAGAATAAAACTGGGTCCTCATCTCTCACCTTATACAAAAATCAACTCAAAATGGATCAAGGCCTTAAATCCAAGACCTGAAACTACAAAAATTCTAGCACAATTTTTTAGAAAAGGTATCTCTCATCTATTGAATTGTTTTTGCAACTTTGTCAAAAATTAATTAAACATATTTTTGTTGGTATTTTACTAGGTCTCTGTTCGGTTCCATTGATTTGTCTTATTCCATACACAAGTACCACATTCTTTAACATTGGGGGAAAAAAAGGAATTCCTGTCACTTAATTCTTTTTTTTTTTCAAAATTGCTACAACTATTCTCAGAGCTCTTCTTTCTCTATATGCATACATACTAGCATGAGTTCATCTATCTTTATTTAAAAATCTTGCTGTGATTTTTACAAATCAATTTAGGAAGAATTTGCATCTTCATTATTATTGGGTCTTTCAGTCTATGAACACAGCATATCTCTCCATTTGAAAGAAATCAAAGAAATCTGCTTTGATTCTTCAATAGTCTGATGAAAGAAATCAAAGAAATCTACTTTGATTTCTTTCATCAGGCTATTGTAATTTTTACCATATCCTATGCATTTATTATTTCATTTTTATTTCATTATCTTTAGAGCAATTTTAGGTGATGTTGGGTGTTTTTTATGTTTTTATTTCCCCTTGTTCCTTGTTAATATGCAAATATACCATTGATTTTTGCACATCAATCCTGTATTTCCCAATATAATTGAATTCGGTTTTCTGAGAATTTTTTTTTGTTTTTGCAAGTTCTTTGGGATTTCTACGTAAGTGATTATGCCCTCTTCAAATAGCTTTGAAGATAACAGCTTTCTTTCTTCCTTTCCAATATGTATAACTTTTATTATTTTATTGCACTTCCTAGACTTTCCAGGCCTATGCTGAATAAGAGTTGTAAACAACTCTCCTTAATAATTATTTTAGCAGAAAAGAATTTAGTATTTCACCATTAAGTATGATGGTAGCTGTAGGGCTCTTGTAGATAGTATTTATTAGTTTGAGGAACTTCCTTTAATATGTATTCATTGAGATGTTTTGTTATTAACAGTATTAATTTTTCAAATGCTTTTTAGTATCGGTTGATAGGAATGTATGAACCTTGTAGTCCACTGATATGATCAATTACATTGATTTTTAATTTTGAACCAATTTTGAAAGTATAGAATAAATTCTTCATCATTATTTATTAATTTTTGTACTTTACTAAATTTGATTTGTTAATATTCTGTTGAGGATTTTTGTGTCTAGGTTGGTGAGAGATATTGCCTGCCTCTCTCTCTGTCTCTGTCTCTGTCTCTCTCTCTCTCTCTTCCTTGTACTTGTTTTTGTCTTGTTTTGTTGTCAACTAAAACTGATATCATAAAATGAATTGGGAAGTGTTTACTCCTCTTCTGTATTCTAGAAGTGATTGCTTAAAATTAGCATTAAAAAATATTTAGTAATAATGTCCAGTGAATTCATATGGGTCTGGAGATTTATTCTGTGGGGAGCTTTTAAAATAAAGATTTTTCTTAAATAAATATTTTCTTAATAAATATGTAAACAATAATGTTATCTATTTCATATTAGATGAGTTAAAGTAGCTTATGCTTTTTCATGGAACTGACCAACTGATTTCTTTTTACTTCTATCAATTACTAAGAGAGGAGTTTTTAAAAATTCTAATCATAATTATGTACTTTTTTTCATTTTATCAGTTAGTTTGTTTCTTCATTATTGTATGTGTAGTTTAGATTTATTTCTGGTGCATTGTTGCTTTTATTATTTCTGTAATGTTTATCTTTCTCTTGAATTCTATTTTGCCTGAAATTAACCCTTATTAGTTACCTATAACTTGTAGGCCCAAAACTATTTTTTATATAAAAAACATATTACAGGAAATATATAAAAGTAGAAATAAAAGTAGTGAAATCAGCTTTATGAAAAATTTCAATAAAAATTTTAAATATAGAAAGCTCAGTATTTACTCTAGTCTTTGAAGGGTATATAACTAAAGTGTTCTATGTGTTTTGAATACAGTTCCTGCTGTCAAACATGGATCTAGAACATATCCTTTCTATGACTGCAAGGAACATTTGAAGTACATCTCTAGTAGGTTAGAGGTGACTATACTTTGTGATTCTTTTTTTGTGTGTGCATTTACATCTTCAAAAGACAACTTTGATGGTCACAGTTTTCCTGATGTTATCCTGTTTGTACTATAATTAAAATATTTTCAGTTCATTTTAATAAACATCTAAAATAATTACTCAGTTTTTAAACTCCTACACTGACTCCATTCAATCAACTCTGCATAAATATTTAACTTCACTGTGTCCACTTGTGAACAATATCCAATAAATGTTCATGAACATCTTCCATAGAAGCTGGAATACTATTTATTCTAGATCTTATTTACAGTCCAAGAAATCCCAGGTATTTATGAAAAATATTGCTTGCTGAAGTCCTTCCTATTATATGATTACTGGATGAGAATTCTATGTATCCATTTTGTCTTTTGAAATATATCATTGACTCACTGATTCTTCACTTGAAAAAAATTAGGATATCATCATCTAAAGATTTGTAGTCTGATATTTCATTTATATGGTCAACTGCAACATTTTTGTAGACTAAATGTTTGCATTCCTCAACATTTTTGTCATGTAACCTAATTCATAATGTGATGGCACCTGGAGGTGGAGTTTTTGGTATCTAATTAGGTTATGAAGGCAGAGCCTTCTTGAATGGGATTAGTGTTCTAATAAAAGAAAACCAAGAGAGATCCTTCATCCCTTCCACTATGTAAGATTAGAACGAGAAGATTATTATGAACCAGGAAATAGGCCCGGAGAATAAATCTGCCAGTGCCTCTATTTTGGAATTGCCTGCCTCCAGAACGATGAAACATACATTTCTGTTGTTTGTAAGCCACCCAGTTTATGATATTTTTGTTACAACAGCCTGAACAGACTAAGATAATCATTACAGGCTAAACTGTTGCTTTATGTTTCTTTGCATTTGTCAGATTAATAATTGTATAATATTTTGTTTCATCAATAGTCTTCCTCATATTATTACAAGCAGTTAAAAAAAAAGGCTGAATTCTCAAATGTGTTCAACAAAAGCTATGACAGAAAGACAGAAGTCTCCAGGACTTTGTTGTACTTTCTTGACAGTTGATATATCACATTGGACAAAAATATAAGAAAGCTGAAATTTTCCAGAGGAATAAAAAATGGATCCCAGAAATAAATCTTCGCATGTATGGTCTAATGATTTTCAAGAATGCCTAGACCATTTACTGGAGGAAGTTCAGTCTTTTCAATGTATCATGTTGAGATATCTGGGTATTTGCATGCAAGAGAATGAGGTAGGGCCTTTGTTGATACCATATACCAAAATTAACTCAAAATGGATCAACAATCTAAATGCAAGAACTAATATTATAGACCCTTAAAACAGAAGACATAATAGGAAATTGTAATAACATGGAATTTGGCAATGATTTCTTTGATATGACTCCAAAAGCACCATCAGTAAATGAAAAAAACAGATAAATTAGGATCCATCATGATTACAAACTGTTGTGCATCAAAGGATACTATCAAGAGTGAAAAGATAATCCATAGAATGGGCAAAAATATTGAAAATAATCTATATAATGAGGGATTAATATTAGGAATATATAAAGAACTCTTACAAGTCAATAACAACAACAAAACAAATAATTTCATTAAAAATGGGCAAAGTAGTTGCATACTTTTAATACATCTTTGAGGAAATGTAAAGCTGTGGAGTGGGCTAGTAAGCACAGAAAAAGTTGTGTTTTTCACATATTAATATTACTAATCCTTGGGGAATTACAAGTAAAAACCATAATGAAATACCAATTTGTACCTATTAGGATGGCTATTACAAAGAAAAATTCAAAGCATATCGAGTGTTGACCAGGATATGAAAAAATTGGAACTCTTTGCATTGCTGGTGAAAATGTAAAATAATGCAGTCTTTGTGGAAAACATCATGCTGGTTGCTAAAAATATTAAACACAGAATTAGCATATTATCCAGGAGTTCCACATCTACGTATATGCCCAAAAAAATTAAAAGCAGAGACTCGAGCAGATATTTGTATACCCATGCTTATAGCAGCATTGTTTACAATAGCCAAAACATGGAAAACCCAAATGTTTATTGACAAATAAATGGATAACCATAATAAGGTGTAGAAATACAATGGAAGATTATTCACCCTTGAAATGAACAATCCTGTCACACCCTACAATGTAGATATAAACTGAAAACCTTATGATTAAGTGAAATAAGCCAGTCAGAACATGACAAATATTATACAATTCTGCTTCTATGAGGTACCTAGAGCAGTCAAACTCAGACTCAAAGTAGAATGGTGGTTGCCGGTGCTGAGTTCTGCTTCCATTAGTACCTAGGTTAGTCAGATTCATGGAGTCAAAGTAGAATAATGGTGGCTCCTCTGGGGAGAGGGAAAAATGGTGGGTTAATATTGAATGGGTAAAATATTTCCGTTTTGCAGAATGAGAAAGTTCTGAAGCAGGGTGGTGGTGATGGTTGCACATCAATGTGAATGTACTTAATGCAGTTCACAAAAAGAAATATGATACACTAAAATAGATTATATCATATAAGTAAATATTAAGTATACATGAAGGGATTATAAGTAAATTTATGTCAATAAATATGTATTTTATGTGAATAAAAATTTTACTGTCAATAAAATAAGTACATTCATGACAATATTACATATTGCCAATGACTGTGTATTGTCAATTATATGTATAAGTGTATTGAGTTGACATACACAATGTATAATGCACTTTGGGGCCCAGTCAGAGAAGGCTAAAAACACTTTTAAATTCAAATATATTCATTCTTTAACTGTGTTGAGTTCTAAATTTCTATAATTCAAATTCTGGTATGATTTCATCATTTTTCAAATAGTTAAAAATGTACTCTCATGTTTTCAGAAAAAAGTGTACCCTTGCTTCCAAAACGACGTGCTGCTCCTAAAAACAATGGTCTTTTGATCAGTTTCTACATTTTTTCACCTTTGCTCATTTTAATTGCTATTGTTAGTCTTAAATGGAATAAAATGAAGAGATTTCGGAGCAAAGTGGGAACAGTAAGCAGCAGGTAAGTAAATGTATTATTTTTAATTTAATATTAAAATTCATTGTGGGAAGAATTCAGTGCAATTCAGAATCCAAGAAGAGACTCTAGGATGGTTTGGATTAATGTTTAGAAATATTGAGTAAGCTCACGCCTGTAATCCCGCCACTTTGGGAGGCCGAGGCGGGCAGATTGCCTGAGCTCAGGAGTTTGAGACCAGCCTGGGCAACACGGTGAAACCCCGTCTCTACTAAAATACAAAAAGTCGGCCGGGCGTGGTGGCATGTGCCTGTAGTCCCAGCTATCTCAGCTACTCGGGAGGCTGAGGCAGGAGAATTGCTTGAACCCAGAAGCCAGAGGTTGCAGTGAGCCGAGATCATGCCACTGCACTCCAGCCTGGGCAACAGAGTGAGACAAGAAATATTGAGTAAGTTCTCAGCATATAGCAAAGTTTTAATTTTTTTATTTCTTTATGTTTTTATTTTATTTCAATCATCTAAGTATCCTGCCTGTTCTTACAGGGCCAAGAACAATTAAAGCTATTCAGTAAAGCCTCATTGCCTTTCACATAGAAAGCCAAGTTTTCTACAATTGTTTAGGAAGTTCTGTTGACTTCCCAAGGAACCCCATTTCTCTTGCATTGACAACCAGTTGTGCCAAAAAGGTCCACAGAAATAGTCAGGGAAGAAAATTTTGTGAATAGAATATGTAGAAGGTAAGAAAAATTGGAGATGGTACAGAATGAGGGAGAGAACTCAGATAGGATACTTTGTATTTTGTGCATAATTAATATGGCTCATGTTTTTCTGAAATTATAAGTAAGGTACTTGCACAGCTTTTTTTTTTAACTCTAACACCACATCAAACCATAATTTGCTTTATGAATATGTAGGGATTTGATAATTCAAAAGAAAGAATAACTGGGATCATTGATTAAAACTGACAAAATCTGGTCACAACAGCCTAAGTTTTATAACAGTAAGTGGTTTCAGGGCTGCCAGGGTAAGAAATGAAGTAGGGCTGAAGCAAAATAGCAATGAACCAGATGATCAGGAACTAGGTCAATCTCTTTGTCACTCGAAGTCTTTATAATTGACATCACCCCTTCTTGTCTATGTCCATTGTTTCCAAATTGACTGCTCTGCTTGCACTTGGCCACTTGATACATATTAATTGATTAATTAGTGCAAATGTAGCTTTTTAAACTTTTCTTGATTTCGCTCAAGATTACAGTGTTTCCTAATGTTATCTCTTTTATACAGATCTATCTCAGAAGACAGCGGTAGTAACAGCAGCCAGTCACAGAGTTAAAGGTGACGTAAAATAAATTGTTAAGAAATAATACTCATGGAGTATTTTTTTACTTTTAACAATACCTCAGTATGAGAAAACTATTATTCCCATATTTCATCATCTTGACTCCTATGTATTAATACTATATAGTAAAACAAAGATAAGAAAATATATTTGATGTTAATTATGTTTTATACTTATTTAGAAATATTTAATGTTAACTAATATTTAGCCAGAGATTTATTGAACAACATTTTTGTAATAAGGAATGATGTTAAAGAGATTATAAATATTTTTGTAAAATATTCATAAACAATCATTATCTCCTCTGGCCTTATGTAAGGTTCTCATTGGGCGATTTACACAGATTGTCTCTCCACATTTACGATGATTGATCCTTACTAAAATGTCATAGGTATTGTTACCCATATTTTAGAGATGAGGAAATGGATAAAAGGAAATAAATTGATTCCCCAGGAAAATAGAATTTTAGTGAGTATTGTAGTGGAGTTTAACTTAAGACAATCCGACTTCAGAATTTAAACTCTTAAGATTGCCACAATCTGGAACAAATATAGCCTGATATATGACTGGGGATTGGGAATGGAATTTACATTGATTGAGACACATGAGATGCCAGGCAAAATGTTAAATGCACCTTTCTTCAAAGGCAGAACGATACTTTTTTTTTAATCTTTAAGATGGGATAAATATACATTCATATATATTGTTCAAAGTTCTAATTCATATGTGTAAAGAAATAATTATATTTGATGTGTTAGGCCTATCACTGGGAGTAAATGGAAAATTCAAAACTTCAACCAAGAGTGGAGATCAACAGTTCATCTAATTACTTAGCTGCCATTCCCTCATATCTGACTTTGTTTATAGTTAAGTCAGTGGGTCTCTGTTTCCTTATCTGCCACTAAGCATTGGGAATTAGAGAGATGCTATGGCCCAAGCTTTCTTATTTTAAATTGTAAATGGCTCATCATAAATACTACTCCCCTTATCCTGGGAAAAAGTCAAAACCAGACATCCAGGCTTTCCCAGAGATAAAGATAGAGCTTTTCCATTCCAGCTGCACATCAAATCTATCCCACACAGGCATATACTGGCATTATCCATGCAAATATCTTCACAGCAGCTTTCAAAACATATATATGATATGATGCTAAAATAAGTCAGAAATGTTGGAGAAATATCAGGGATGTCATTCTATCTGGAGCAGAGTTACCAAGAGGGTTGCAGTTGTGATAAGGCCAGAGAAGTAACACCCATGGAGGGTCTTGGCACTCTTGGAGGCCATCTGTCTTTTACTTTGAGTGAAAGGGAGGAATCACTGGATGGTGCAGATTCTAAGCATGTGACTTACCCTTTAAAAAGCTGCTTTGTTGAAAACAGTCTATATGATGGCAAGAGTAGATGTGGAGAAACTACTGCAGTAATCCAGGAGAGAAAAGATGGCGCTTCAGACCAGGGGTGGTAAGGATGGTCTTATGGATACATTTTGAAGGTAACACAACAGAATGTACTGACAGTTTGGATGCAGAATGTAAGAAAAAATGCTTAAATAATATGGCTATTGATATACAGCAGGAAAATAGCAAGGCTAAAAAGTAAAACCACCCTTCCTTATTTACAAAATTTTGGCTTTTTTTTTTTTTCCTTGAGATGGAGTCTCACTCTGTTGCCCAGACTGGAGTGCAGTGGTGTGATCTCGGCTCACTTGCAACCTCTGCCACCTGGGTTCAAGCGATTCTCCTGCCTCAGCCTCCCAAGTAGCTGAGACTACAGGCACACACCACCATGCTCAGCTAATTTTTGCATTTTTGGTAGAGATGGGGTTTCACCACGTTGGCCAGGATGGTCTCGATATCCTGACCTCATGATCCACCTGCCTTGGCCTCCCAAAGTGTGGGAATTTGCAAGTTTATGAATGCTGAGATGTAAAATCCATGTAGGTAACTATAAGCCAAAATAAGTATCTTGTATGCCACAATAAGGAGTTTAAATATTCTTCTATATGACTAAGAACATAGGTAAGGTACTTTTTAAGATGGTAAGAAAGGGATTTGGTACTATATGTCTTGCAGTTTACAAATTTCACTGGGATAAAATAGGGAAAGTAGATTCAGTCACAAATGGAAAGTAGTGAAGCAGTTAAGAGACTGCTGAATGCACAAGAAAGGTGTGATGAGGACAGGATTGGAGAGGAGGAAAAGCACAAAAACATTTTCAGAGGTATGACAGAGGCCCAATCTGTTAGAGTAGTGACTGGATGGACGTTTATGGGTTAGAATAAAAGAGAGAACTAAAAAAACCTCCACTCTTCTGACAGAATGGATAGTGACACCTTTTACCAGTGACACATTGTGTAGTAGAGAAATAACTGGTTTGGTTTGGGGTGAGGAAGTGGAGGGGAGTGAAGAGTTAGTTTGTCTTTGAACAAGTGTATTTAAGAACCCACTGGAAATGCACAGAGGGTTTTTGGAAGTTCTTTTCCTCCTCAGATACATAGAGAAAAATGTATAGTAATTCTTTATTATTTTTTCACATATTTATATTGCTGTTTTTTTCTGTTTCCTTTTTGTGGTTTTCCTTTATATTTTTCTTCTGTCTCTTTGTTGATGATTTTCATTTATCCATGTAAAGTTTAGAGACTATGTAAATTAAAAATATAAATATCAATTTGTAATATTCCCTTTTAATGTAGCAATTACAATCCATTTATGGAAAATAAATTTAGATTTATAAACTTCCTGAATCACAGACACAGACTTCACCAGTATAATCAGTGTCTCATTATACTAATTAAGTGTTCTACTAATAGTTGAATAGTAAATAACAGCTTTTATTAACAATGAAGATTTAACATTTTTATTTTTCTGCATTTCCTCTGCAACAGTAACCAAGTGATAAAATCAAAGCCATCGGATGAAGAAAGGATATTACCAAGAAACTCACCATTAACTTAAAACTTTCAACTTCACAGAAAAAAATAAATCATATGACTAAAAGCATACAAGCTTGTGTCTATTGATTCTTCTACCCTCCATGATCCTTTAGTGGGAGATGAGCGGCTTTGTGTCTTTGTAACTTTGGAAGTTGTTACATCATAAGCTTTATAGCCTTCTGAAACAAGAGAGATCACTGATCTCCCTCACAGGACATGCGGCAGGGGAGTGGCTCACCTGTTCGGTCACCCACCGCTCAAACCCCTCATCTGCTGGTCTGCTTGTCTTGCCACATCTGTAGCAGTTAACAGGTACACCCTGGGAATTCTGGGGTTTGTGGGCTTGCCTGGTGGATATTAAAGCCCTTGTCTCTTTCCTGTATTTCCCCTGTCTTTCCTGGGCCTCCCTGTCTCTATTATAAAAGACTGAGATGGCTACTTTCAGGAGGTTATGTAAAGTACTATCTGGTCCCAGGGCCTGTTTTTTGCAGCTTCCTCCTGATATCAGGGGCTGCCTGAATAATAAACTTATCCTCCAGGATTAGTTGTTCCACAACTGAATCAGGAGGTAAAGAGATGCTTTACCAAGGCCTCTCTAAGCCTTTCCAAGAAGGCAGTGGGATTTTCATCAACTCCCTGGTCAATCATGGATAACTTAGTGTAATTGAGAGGCTTGGTCCTGGTCCTACACACGCCCTCCATTATGCAAACCTGAAACTGTCTCCTCTTCCAGTCTCTCATCTCACCATTGGGATCCCATCCAGGGTAATTCATTAGTACTGTCTCTCTTCCAGTTGGATAATTTTCGCCCTCTTCCCTGATGCTGTATGTGATACAAAGCTCATCCCCAAATCTCTGCTGCTTGCAGAGCAGCCTGCTTCTCAGTGTCTGTCAGGGTCTGATTCAAAAGTAACAATGTCTCTCCAGAAGAGTTCAAATACTTGGATGAAATTCTGGAAAGCCTCTATATATTGGACAGGGTCATCTGAAAACTTGCCAAGATCCCCCTTAATTTGCTTTAACTCCTGTAGAGAGAAGGGGATCTGGACTTTACTGGGGTCAAATTCACCAGGCATCTGAGGCATCTGTTGGAAGGGCAAGAGTGAGACTGGGGCTTGTCTCAGGTGAGGATTTCTAGGAGGGGGTAAGTGAGAGGCTGAAGTTGGATAGGGAGATTGAGGTGGACCTGGAGGAGCAGGGCTGGAGGGAGCTGGCTCTTCTTCTGGGGGTGCCTCTAGGATTTGTATCTTTAGTTCCCTTGGCTCACCCCTTGCAGCCTTTCCTGAGACAACAAACAGGAGGGCTGGATCAATCCTACACTGTTAGCAAAGGTCTGGATTGCCTTTCAAGGTATAGAAAGCCTGCCCATATGGGGCCTCACACCATCTGTCCTCATGTCTACAGAAAAGGTCCAACTGCCTGATGGTATTGAAATGAATGGTCTTCCAGTCCATAAGTTGGCCAAAAATTTATGCAGAGGGCTATGAGGCATTTTTCCTCCACATTCTGAGTGTCAAAGCAGTTCCAGTGGTTCAGAATACACTCCAGAGGAGTATAAGCTGGGGGTGGTAAAGAGAGCTGGTTGCCCGTTCTGAAAGACAGGGAATAGAGGCATCCCTCAACTCTATTCTTTCTTTCAGTGAAAACCCAGGGTGTGAGAGAGAAAGCAAACATCCTCCCTTTCTCTTCCATCTTTTTGTCCTCAAGTTCTGGCAACCTTAGCAGGTGCCACCATGGGTGCTAATGCACCATGCACCCTTGAAGCAGGGAAGGCCTAGAGAATAGGAATTATCCACTCTCACCTATGCCTCCATCTTCCCAACTATTGGCAAACTTTGAGTTCCCTGGGCCTCATTATGCCATGGAACATGGCCTCCTTTCATGAGGTGGGGGTGGTTTAGTTGGCAGGAATTGGTCCTGCCCATTTACATTGTGCCTGTTGCCTGGCTTTGGATCCCTCAAATCTGATTTTCCTTGCTAAGACTTCAGCCTGACGCTTCGAATCGAGTTTGAGACAAAGTATTTCAGGGGCTGTATCTGTTTAGATTGTCTCAAATGAGCCCTGCTGAATTTTCAGTAATCAGCCAGTAGGGGTCACTCTTCCATTATTTTCTCTATTATAAGCAGAGTGCTGGGGGTAGGAACCCTCTCTTAGAAAATGTAAAAAAGAAAAAACAGCTTATGAGGCGAAAGAGGAAGGTCCTGGAGGAAGAACCCCTTGCTCAGTGCAAAGTGGGTCCCTTTAATCCTTGTATTCTTCCTCTGGTTCAGACCTGGCTAAATTCCTTGGCTGGGGAGGAAATGTTCTTTTGGCACAATGGGCAGGTAGCTGGCTGTGCTGGGTCCCTGTGGCAGCCACAGTCTTTTCCTGTCCCTCTTGTGCATGCTGTGGACACCTCTAGGTGCCTGAGTCAGGACAGGAGGGAGTAAGGAGAGGATGTGCTGTGGGCCACACGTGCCTGTGGCTGTCAGGCTGGGGATGGCACATTTAAGAACAAATGGGAAGTATTTGTTCTGATTTGCATCTTTGATGGCTGAGCCAAATGCTCATTCTATTTAATATTATTGCCGCAGCCTGTAGCAAAGCCTTTGACGTTATAAAGGAAGAGATAAGAGCCATTTTAAACTGAGAGAAGAAAAGACACCAAAGGAAGTCTGCGGTCTTGGCCTACGGAATTCAGTCCTGGAGCCTTTCAGCAAAAAAAAAAAAAAAAAAAAAAAAAAAAAGCTTTTCGTTGCCCCATGGCTTTACTCCAGTCCCATGTGGTGGCTAGACCTCCCCGGAGAGAAACAGAGCAGGAAAGAGAGAGGTGGCAGAGTCTTGGAGAAGAGGCAGATCTGACAGTTTTGCTTTTTAACTCACCTTTCTTTGTATTCTGGACAGGACCCCAGCTGAAACAGGAGAGTTCCTGGATCTCTTCACAGGAGGTGTGACAGGGGTGTGGCTTGCCTATTCAATGCCACCACTGCTCAAACCCCTAATGGGAGGGGGACCACTCAGACAGGGAGGTGCAGGAGCCAGGTTGAGTGCTTTGGGTTCCAGACCCATGGTAGTGTCTAGGGGGTGGGTGCCTGCAACCCCAGTGTTACAAAGCTCTTTCCACTTTGCCGTTCACATATGGCTTATGTTAACCAGCTCAGTAGACCCTCTGCCTTTTCGCAAGGGCAGAGGGACAATGTGACTGCTTTCTGTATTCCAGCTCCTGCCCAGAAGAATTGGGTCACACATGGGCTTAAAGGATGTGTAAGAGTTAAAGAAAGAGGAAAGAAACACAAAAAGTGGCCCAACAGTCAAAGACAGATATATTTTGGAGAATGAACCTGAGAGAGGCTTCTGGATGATTTCGGTCAGGAGCGCTCTCTCTTATGGACTAAGAGTCTTTATTGGTTTTTTAGGGTGAGAGAGCTTAACACAAGCTTGGAATGTTTCTGTGTAGGGGAGAAGTTTATGGCAGGGTTGGAATGTCTCTGGTCAGAGAGGAGGTTATCTTGAGGCTGACATCTCTCCAGCCAGAGGGGAGGTTATCTTGGGGCTGATATGTCTGTGGTCAGGGAGAAGTTTGGAATGTTTCTAGTCGGAGATGTTATTTGTGGTTTATGGTCATGCTGACCTTACCCATTAGGCTGATGCCCTTTGGATTTAGGCAGTTTTTGATCAAGGTGAACTTTAAAATGACCGTGCTTGTCCAAGATCGTGATGCTCCTGCTCTGTCAGGATGAATGAAAGGTTTTATTGAGTGGTGGAGGTAGCAATAAGTGGGATGGATGAGGAGCTGGAAGAGGGGAACGGAGTGGGAAGATGACCTTCCCCTGGAGTTGAGCCATCAAGTGGCCAGACTCCTCTCCAACTGACCCCAGCCAAACTCCTCTCAGTGTTCAGACTTTCCTCCTCTTCTCTCTTTCTCTGCCATGTCATTCTGCTGCCCGTCTGCTTGTTTTGCCTCCTCATCTGCTTGTCTGCTTCTGGATGCTAGAGTTCAAGGTTTATGTGAGTACAAGATAGGGGTCATGGTGGGCCAAAAGGCAACTTTTTGGGCATGAAAACGGGAATTCCTGTTCTCATTTAGGGCCATGGTATCCAGGCTTGAGGGCGGGCCTTTTCTGGGGAACCACCCTCTTCCACCCTGTGTTTCCCTTTCTGCAGTCCATATCACTTCCATTGTCCACTGCTCCTGCCCACTCTCAGATGCCCATGGCATGCTGACTGCTCTCATCCCAAGAGAGGAAACCTGCAGCCCACCCCCTTTTAATCGTTAATTATCCCCTTGTCCTCTTCATTCTAAGTTTTGGAATATTGAGAGAGGAGGTATTGCTGAGTAAGGTCAGCTCCACAGTCACATTAGTCATTAGCCTAAATCCTACCTTAAATGAATTGTTCAAACTGAGCTGTGGGTCATAGACACCTGTACCATCAGGTATTATGCTTCCTTGGCCCTGTATAAACTGTTCTAGAATATTTCTCTGTCCTTTGGGAAAACCTAAACTTGCCACTCTGTCTTCCCTGAAGCTGGGCTTTTCTGGGTAAGATTTTCTTGCCTCAGTCTCCCCTCCCCTCCCCCTCTTGCTAAGATGGGTGCATTTCTACACATCACAGAGCATTACACATGGATTAGGGATCCACCAGCCCACCTGGAATCCAATTAGGACCTACAGAGTCTCCATCACAAACCAAGATGCTCCTGGGACAGAGGTAGAGGAACCTCATCATAGAGGTCCAGGGTTTCCTATTCCAAATGTCCATCAACTGAAGAATGGATAAACAAAATGCGGTATATCCAAACAATGGAATATTATTCAGCCCTAAAAAGGAATGAAGCATTGACACTTTTACTCGACATGGTTGATCCTTGAAACCATTATGTATAGTAAATAAAGCCAGTCACAAACACCAGATATTTACATGTGTATTTATTTGTATGATACGTCCAGAACGGGGGCAGCTCTTAGTTTAATGGTTGTTTAGGGAGTAGAGGTGTGGGATAAAGAACTTGTGTATGGGAGGGTGATGGCTAAAGGGTATAGAGTTTCTTCATAATAAGATGAAACTTATATCACACATACCAGTGAACATACTAAAAATCATTTAGTCTTATGCTTTAAGTGGGTGACTTTTGTGGTATGTGAATTATATCTTAATAAGGCTGTTTAAAATGCAAATTGGGATGGTTCTACTAGATTTATCTCAACCTCATGGCAATGAGGGCAATTTTGGACCATCATGCTCACTGTCCTACCTCTTTCTCATGATTTCTATTGCCCAGATGTACCAGTCTCTAGTAGGCCTGAGTTTTAGTCCTGACTAGAGTTTTATTTTCAAACTGTCAACACAGTTCATCCCTGTAACATGGTGTACTGGGGTTTTAGGTAAGGGATGGGATAAAAGATGAGTTAGGGCTGGGCACTATGGCTTACACCTGTAATCCCAGCACATTGGGAGGCCAAGGTGGGTGGATCACAAGGTCAGGAGTTCAAGACCAGCCTGGCCAACATAGTGAAACCCCATCTGTACTACAAATACAAAAAAATTGCCAGGAGTGGTGGTGGGAGCCTGTAATCCCAGTTACTCGGGAGACTGAGGCAGGAGAATTGCTTGAACCCAGGAAGCAGAGGTTGCAGTGAGCCGAGATCACACCACTGCACCCCAGCCCGGGTGACAGTGCAAGACTCCATCTCAAAAAAAAAAAAAAAAAAAAAAAAAAAGATGAGTTAGTTCTGGACATGTGCAGTTTAAGATATTTGTCAAAGTTCAGGAAGGCAGATGCATACTCTTCCTTTTACAGTGGTGTCACTTTTCCTCTCTGCCCTCGCCTTGCTACCTTTCTGATCTCCACAGGTTCTTCAGTAGTGCTTAGAATCACTATTTACACAACACAATCAGGTTGCATTTTAAAGCTTTTCTTTCCCTTTCCTCCACTGATTCTAATCTAGTATTTTTAAAAAGATGCATAGTTGAATAAAAGTGTTTTTGATGGAATTATCAGGATAAAGTCCCATTTTCTTGATTTGTTTTTATTTGCAAAGATATTAAACATTTAAGTCAGCAGTGGTACATAAGAAGTTGTTAGTACTAATTGCTAGTAATGATAATTAATATTTCTATTTTCCTGTTTCTCCACAATAAATAAATCCTACCACAAAAAAAAAAAACTGTGATGCAGAGACATTTTCAAGAACCTCACTATGAGGGCAAATGATGCTTATTTGCCTTTACGTCACTACTAAAGGGTTTAAACAATTTAAGCTTCCCCACAACAAAGCAGTTGTGCTCCATTGTGTGTGCTTGTGTCTAGTGTTTCCTCTCCCTGCCCTGTTGAAGCTTCCCAAGCCCTTGGATTCCATAATGCTGAGCCAACTCAGGCAGAAAGCAACCTCGGTTGTCACCTCGAGGGTCCTTGGACAGCACACTATACTCTGAAGTGGCCCTTTGGCCCAGTGACCAAGAGCTGCCATGAACCTCAGGGGGCCTTTGTCCTTGGCTGTGCTTCCTGCACTCTGGCAAAGCCATGTTCTTTCTCTTTGCCTTCCTTGCTGAGCATGGAAGGCTACAAGCCCACCTAAGCCCATAGTAGCCTAAAATTTATTTTCCTTTTCTCAGAAGAGGGTTGGACTATTCCTGGAGAACAATTCCCTGTATCTCTGAGACCCTCTACAACCCCTTTCCCAGATCCCATGCTGGTGCCTCCCATGTGTCACACTGTCTCAGACCAGGCCAGGTGAGCCAAGGACATTAGCAGAGGAGATATCTGAGCTCAGGGCCCAGGGTCTTAGCTACCCACATGCAGCAAGACTTTCAGGGTCTCCCCACTCTATGATGGAGAATAGAGGTGGGGGTGCACTGCCTTCAATCTGAGGAGAAACGGGCTCCAGTGTGATTCAGAAGAGGAACTGGACTATCCTGTGGAACTGCAGTGACTGATTTTTTTGTTTGATATTTTGTATCTCAGTCATTTTCAATGTGCCATTGATAATGTCGTGAAAGTGTATATCACACTGGAGAGTGGACACTCATAAATAACTTTTCCTATATTTTGACCCCACCATTGACTCAGGATTAATAAGCATTGCTTGACTGAGATGATTGTTGATACAAACAACATAAAATCAAAAAATATTTTTCAACTGCAGATTCTAAAGGAATATTCTTGCATACCCCAGTTCCACAGAAGGTAGGGTAAAATGAGGATGAAATTTCAGAGAAGGTAAATGACCAATAATATTGATTTTACAAGTTGTAATTTTAAAGCATTTTTACTTCTTGTGTTTATTTTCATTTTTATTTTATTTATATTTATATTTGTACAAATGTATAGGGTGCATGTTTTTTTTGAAATTTCACTCCATGTGTGTAATATATAATTATCAAGCGAGGGTATTTAGGGTGCCCATCACCTGATTACGTAACATTTCATTAAATATAGTCATCCTACTCTGCTATCAAGCATTTAATTTATTCCTTCTACTTATCATCTGTTTGTACCTTCTAACAATAAGATATTATTTTTTCTTCAAGCTTAGATTTTCCTTTTTAAAGTTTTTGTACCATATTTAAATTCACAAATGCAGTAAAATGTATAGTTGTTTTATTGATTTATTTTCCACTTAGGATTCATCAGGTCTTGTATATTGGATCTGTGAGAATTTTGCATTTTAAAGAAATAAGCTACATATTTATAAATCTCCAACTGAGTATAAGCCATTGAAATAAAGAACAAGTTATATATTATGTCTAATGTGAAATTGAATATAGTTATACAAGTGGTTATTGGTGAGAAATTAAGCTAGTTGCATACTTATTAATATTTATAATGTGTAAATCGTATGTGTTTATTTTTTAAAAACTTTAGTATATTTTACATATCATAAAATTCACTGACATGTAAAATTCAATTTTTTAAATAACTTTATGCACTTTTGCAGCCATCAACCATGTATCAGTTTTAGAACATTTTGTTTTCCAAATAAGAGCTTTATGTCATTTCAGTTAATCTCTGTTCTCACCCACAGCTCCAGGCAACAATAAATCTCTGCTTTCTCTTTCCTGGTTTGCTTTCCTTTTTTTTCACAATTTCATGCAAATGAAATCAAATAGCCTTTTCTCTGCCTGCATCTTTTAAAATACATATTTATAACAACTGCCCCTTGTCTGCCTGCAACCATGTATTTGAACAAGGCTGGAGAAAATTATTCTCACTTAATTCATGACCACCCTAATTAATTAAGCCTTACAAACTTCATGGCCTTTCATGACTCTACAACAGCAATAAAAATGTTTACTTTTAAGAGATCATCAGTGGTCCTTATATTTTTTAATGCCAAAGGCTGTTTTTTAATCTTCACTTTTGTTGATCCTATTTGCAGCATTTGGCATAGCTGGTAAGTGTCTACTCCATGAATTACTTTCTTCATTTAGCTTCTAGAATATTCCAGTCTCATGATTTAATTCTTGCCATTGCAGTTATTCTCTCTTTCTTTCTCTTTCTCTCAGCTCTCTCAAAGATTTGCTAATAACAATAATGTCAATCATACAGAATTATTAATATACATTTACAGGAAGAAAAAAGTTGTGAAAACTCTCTGTACTCTTTTCCACCTATGGCCCAACAAGTACTCTCTTGTGCCTGGGTTTTATCACTGTCACATGCACCTTCTATCTATGACAGTCAAATTGAAGTAGTGGTCAAATAAATGCAATAAAATATTTGAACTAAATACTCAACATGGAAAAAAATATCAATCTTGAGTAATATGTCTAGCTCAAGAGAGAAGCATGTGACAAATGTCAAAGACAGCTAAGTCTTGCTTTAAAATGTGAAGAATCAGAATACAAACAGCTGATTTCTTATTATATGCATGAAACAAATACTTCTGGAATAAGAATTATCAAAGATAAATAGAAATAATGTTTGAGTTATGAATTTAATATTATACACATTTATAAACAATAAAATTAATATGAATGTATAGGATTCATATAACAGCATTTTTTGATGATGGTAATTTCACTATGTCTTAGCAATTAAGTAATTGGTTGAAATTCACTGAAATGGTGCATCAGAGAGTTCAGACTTTCTTAACACTGGAACAGACTCTGTGACTCCTTTGTATCAGATAGTAGCATGTGTGGCTGTGTATGTGTTCACTCAACAAATACTTAGTGTCTACTATCTGACAGACACTCTTCTAGGCACTGGGATACAGCAGTAAACAAAAGACAAAATTCTTAGTTTTCTAGCATTTTAGATAACAATAAATTAAGCCTGGGTGTGAAAGACTGATGGTAACAAAATGTAAATTGGATGACATGGAAAATTTCATTGAATAGGTAAATAAAGATATAAAGTAGAAGTAACATGTATTTTCACATAAATGTTATTCCAGACAGAGTTAGGAAAAAATGCAGAGACCCTGAGGCCAAAGTATCCTTTGTTTATACAAAGAACAGCTAGGGGACAATGTGCCTGGAGTGAGTGTGAATGTAGTTACAGATGGTGTCATAGAAATGAGACATCATCAGAGAGTTAGAACAAATAAGTGACAGCATCAGACCAATATTTTCATAGAATAATCTTCAGGGCAAATAAGCAGAAGTAAGGAGACCAGTTAGAAGACTATTACAGTCATCCACACAACATGATGATGGTTTTAAATAGAATAGTAGCAGGGGTCGAGGCCCAATTCTGGATATACTTTAAAGAGAGAAACATGAGATTTAATAATTCACTGGATTTGAGGGGAAAGAAAAGTAACAAAAAAAGATGGCAAAATGACTCCAAGGTTTTGTTCTGAAAAACTAGAATAATGCAGATGGTATTGGGAATGTGATCAGGAGTCCATTAGGAACATGTTAAATATGAGACTTCTAGTAAGTATCTTCATGTGGAACTATCAAGTAAGTAGTCAAATAATTGAATCTGGAGTTCACTGAAGAAGTATAAAGCCGAGATAGATACTGGGAGTAATTAACAATATATAATTATTATGTTACTATTTTTACTTTTAACAAATACAACTGTATCTATATATAGGGTAAAATGTAATGTTTTGATATATGCATACATTGTGGAATGATCAAATCAGGTTAATTAACATTTCCATTAACTCAAATATTTATTATTTCTTTACTCAAGAACATTTAAAATCATCTCTTTTAGCTATTTTTAAAGATATAATAATAAACCATAAGACTAGATGAGATAGGCAATAATGTATCTAGAAAAACAAAGTTCAAAGACAGCACCATGGAGCTAATTTCCAGAGACAGATCAGGAGGTATTGGAAAAAAAAAAAACAGAAGCAGTAACTACATTAGCAAGAGTTAAAGAAAGCCTGTGGTATCCTGTAGCCAAATGAGGAAATATTTTATACAGGAGAGACTGATCAGCTATGCCAAATGCTGCTGATTGGTCGAAAAAAATAAAGACTAAGAAATAACCATTGCTTCTATTCAGCAAGAAGATGTAACTGCTCTCAATTTATACATACCTGACATTGGAGCACTAGATACATAAAAAAGAAGTTTTTCTAGATCTACAAAAAGGTTTAGAAAGCCATACAAGAATAGTGAGGGACTTCAACATCCCCCTGACAGCATTTCACAAAATATTAAGGCAGAAAACTAACAAAGAAGTTCTGCACTTAAACTCAGCACTGGATCCGTTGGATCGAATAGACATCAACAGAATACACCACCCAACAGCAACAGAACATACACTCTTCTCATCTGCACACAGAACTTACTCTAAGATCAATCACATGCTTGGTCATAAAGTAAGTCTCAAATAATCCACAAAAATTGAAATCATACCAAGCAATAAAAATATAAATCAATACCAAGATCTCTCAAAACCAAACAATTACACAGAAATTAAACAATTTGCTCCTGAATGACTTTTGGGCAAACAAGAAAATTAATGCAGAAATTTTAAAAATTATTTGAAATAAATGAAGAGAGAAACACAACATACTTGGTATCTTTGGGACACAGCTTAAGTAATGTTAAGCAGAGAGTTTATAGTGTTAAACATCTACCATCGAGAAGTTAGAAAGATCTCAAATTAACAACCTAACATCACAGCTGAAGGAACTAGAAAAACAAGAGCAATCTGCCCCCAAAGCTAGCAGAAAAAAAAAAAGTATCCAAAATCAGAGCAGAACTGAACAAAATTGAAAATGAGAACATACATCAAAAAAAAAAAAAAATCAATGAAAGTCCAGTTACGGTTGCTCAGGTCTGTAACCCCAGCACTTTGGGAGGCCAAGACAGGCAGATTACTTGAGGCCAGGAGTTTGAGACCATCCTGGCAAATCTGGAGAAACCTTGTCTCTACTAAAAATACAAAAATTAGCCAGGTGTGGTGATATGTGCTTGTAATCCCAGCTACTCAGGAAGCTGAGGCATGAGAATTGCTTGAACGAGGGAGGCAGAGGTTGCAGTGAGCCAAGATCTTGCCACTGCACTCCATCCAACCTGAATAACAGAGCAATACTCTGTGAAGGGAAGGAAGGGAAGGGAAGGGAAGGGAAAGGGAGGGGAGGGGAGGGGAGGGGAGGGGAGAGGGGGAGGGGAGGGGAGGGGGGAGGGGGAGGGGAGGGGAGGGAAGGGAAGGGAAGGGAAAGGGAAAGGGAAAAAATAAAATCATTGAAACCCAGAGTTGGTTCTTTAAAGAATAAACATGATTGATACATTGCTAGCTAGGTTAACAAAGAGAAAAAAAAGAGAAGATCTAAATAACGCAATCAGAAATGACAAAGGTAGTTTTACAACCAACCCTACAGAAATACAAAATATCCTAAGAGACTATTATGAACACCTCTATGGAAACAAACCAGAAAATATATAAGAAATGGATAAATTACTAGAAATGCACAACTTCCCAAGATTGAACCAGGAAGAAATTGAAACCCTCAACAGAACAATAATGAGCTTTTTTCTTTCTTTTTTACTGTTTTTGTTTTGTTTTTATTTTAAGGTCCAGAATACAAGTATAGAAGGTGCAGGTTTGCTACATAGGTATTCGTGTGACATGGTGGTATGCTGCACCTATCAACCCATCACCTAGGTTTTAAGCCCTGCACACATTAGCTATTTGTCCTGATGCTCTCCCTTCCTTTACCTCCCATCAAAGACCCTGGTGTGTGTTGTTCCCCTCCCTGTGTCCATGTGTTCTCATTATTCAACTCCCACTTATGAATGAGAACATGCGGTGATTGGTTTTCTATTCCTGTGTTAGTTTGCTGTGGATGATGGCTTTCAGCTTCATCCATGTCCCTGCAAAAAACATCATCTCATTCTTTTTGTGGCTGCATAGTATTCCATATTGTATATGTACCACATTTTCTTTATCCAGTCTATCACTGATAGGCATTTGGGCTGGTTCCATGTCTTTGCTATTGTGAATAGTGCTGCAATAAACATATGTGTGCATGTATTTTTATAATACAATAAATTATATTCCTTTGGGTATATACCCAGTAATGGAATTGCTGGGTAAAATGGTATTTCTGGTTCTAGATTCTTGAGGAATTGTCACACAGTCTTCCACAATGATTGAACTAATTTACATTCCCGCCAACAATGTAAAAGCGTTCCTATTTCTCCACAGCCACAGCAGCATCTGTTGTTTCTTGACTTTTTAATAATCGCCATTCAGACTGGCATGAGATAGTATCTCATTGTGGTTTTGATTTGCATTTCTCTAATGATCAGTGATGTTGAGCTTTTTTTCATATGTTTGTTGGCCACATAAATGTCTTCTTTTGAGAAGGGTCTGTTCATATCCTTTAAGCACTTTTTCATGGGATTGTTTCTTTCTCGTAAATTTGTTTAAATTCCTTATAAATTCTGAATATTAGACCTTTGTCAGATGGGTGGACTGCAAAAATTTTCTCCCATTCAATGGATTGCCTTTTTGCTCTGATGATAGTTTCTTTCGCTGTGCAGTTCTTTGGTTTAATTAGATACTATTTGTCAATTTTATCTTTTGTTGCAATTCCTCTTGGCAATTTCAGAATAAAATCTTTGCCCATGCCTATGTCCTGAAGGGTATTATCTAGGTTTTCCTCAGGGGTTCTTATGGTTTTGGGTTTTACATTTAAGACTTTAATCCATCTTGAGTATATTTTTGTATAAGGTGTAAGGAAGGGGTCCAGTTTCAGTTTTCTGCATATGGCTAGCCAATTTTCCCAGCACCATGTAATAAATAGGGACTCCTTTCCCCATTCCTTCTTTTTTTTGCCAGGTTTGTAGAAAATCAGACGGTTATAGATGTGTGGTTTCATTTCTGAGGTCTCTATTCTGTTACATTGGTCTATATGTTTGTTTTGGTACCAGTACCATGCTGTTTTGGTTACTGCAGCCTTGTAGTATAGTTTGAAGTCAGGTAGCAGGATGCCTCAGCTTTGTTCTTTTTGCTTAGTATTGTCTTGGCTATGTGGGCTTTTTTTATGGTTCCATATGAATTTTAAAGTAGCTTTTCTAATTCTGTGAAGAATGTAAATGGTAGTTTGATGGAAATACCATTGAATCTATAAATTACTTTGGGCAGTATGGCCATTTTCACAATATTGATCCTTCCTATCCATGAGGATGGAATGTTTTTCCATTTGTTTGTGTCTTCTCTTATTTCCTTGAGCAGCGGTTTGTAGTTTTCCTTGAAGAGGTCCTTCACATCTCCTGCTAGCTGTATTCCTAGGTACTTTATTCTCTTTGTAGCAGTTGTAATGGGAGTTCATTCATAATTTGGCCCTCTGCTTTTCAATTGTTTGTGTATAGGAATGCTTGTGATTTTTGCACATTGATTTTGTATCCTGAGATTTTGCTGAAGTTGCTTATCAGCTTAAGGAGTTTTGGGGCTGAAATGATGGGGTTTTCTAAATATAGGATCATGTTGTCTGAAAACAGAGACAATTTTACTTCCTATCTTCCTATTTGAATACCTTTATTTCCTTCTCTTTCTTGATGGCCCTGGCCAGAACTTCCAATACTATGTTGAATAGGATGCAGGATTTCAGAGGGAATGCTTCCAGCTTTTGCCCATTAAGTATGATATTGGCTGTGGGTTTGTCATATATGACTCTTATTATTTTTAGGTGTGTTTCATCAATACCTAGTTTATTGAGAGTTTTTAACATGAAGGGATGTTGAATTTTATTGAAGGTCTTTCCTGCATCTGTTGAGATAATCATGGGATTTTTGTCATTGGTTCGGTTTATGTAATGAATTACATTTATTGATTTGCATATGTTGAACCAACCTTGCATCCCAGGGAGGAAGCCAACTTGATCATGGTGGATAAGCTTTTTGATGTGCTGCTGGATTCGGTTTGCCAGTATTTTATCAAGGACGTTTGCACCAATATTCATCAGGGATATTGGCCTGAATTTTCTTTTTTTGTTGTATCTCTGTCAAGTTTTGGTATCAAGATGATGCTGGCCTCATAAAATGAATTAGGGAGGAGTCCCACCTATGATTCCAATTGTTTGGAATCATTTCTGAAGGAATGGTAACCAGCTCCTCTTTGTACCTCTGGTAGAATTTGGCTTTGAATCTGTCTGGTTCCAGGCTTTTTTTCGTTGGTAGGCTATTTATTACTGCTTCAATTTCAGAACTTGTTATTGGTCTATTCAGGGACTGGACTTCTTCCTGGTTTAGTCTTGGAAGGGTGTATGTGTCCAGGAATGTATTCATTTCCTGTAGATTTTCTAATTGATTTGAATAGAGTAGTGTATAGTATTTTCTGATAGTAGTTTGTATTTCTGTGGGGTCAGCAGTGATATTCCCTTTATCATTTTTTATTGTGTCTATTTGATTCTTCTCTCTTTTCTTCTTTATTAATCTACCTAGCAGTCTATTTTATTAATTTTTTCAAAAAAAAAAAACAGCTCCTGGAGCTATGGATTTTTTGGAAGGGTTTTTCATCTCTCTCCTTCAGTTCAGCTCTGATCTTATTTATTTCTTGTCTTCTGCTGCCTTTGGATTTGTTTGCTCCTGCTTCTCTAATTCTTTAATTATGGTGTCAATTTGAGATCTTTCTAGCTTTCTGGTGTGGGCATTTAGTGTTATACATTTCCCTCTTAAAACTGCTTTAGCTGTGTCCAAGGGATTCTGGTATATTGTCTCTTTGTTCTCATTGGTTTCAAAGAACTTCTTGATTTCTGCCTTAATTTCATTATTTCACCTGGAGTCATTCAGGAACAGGTTGTTCAACTTACATGTAGTTGTGTGGTTTTGAGTGTCTTAATCCTAAGTTCTAATTTGATTGCACTGTCATCTGAGAAACTGTTATAATTTCAGTTCTTTGAATTTGCAGAATCTTCCAATTCTGTGGTGGATTTTAGAATAAGTGTCATGTGGCACTGAGAAGAATGTATATTCTGTTGCTTTGGGGTGGAGAGTTCTGTAGATATCTATTAGGCCCACTTGATTCAGAGCTGAGTTCAACTCCTGCATATCCTTGTTAATTTTCTGTCTCATTGATCTGTCTAATATTGAGAGTGAGGTGTTAAAATCTCCCACTATTCTTGCATGGGAGTCTAAGTCTCTTTGCAGGTCTGTAAGAACTTGTTTTATGAATCTGGGTGCTCCTGTATTGGGTGCATACATATTTAGGGTAGTTAGCTCTTCTTGTTGAATTGATCCCTTTACCATTATGTAATGCCCTTTTTTGTCTTTTTCTAACTTAGTTGGTTTAAAGTCTGTTTTGTCAGAGAGTAGGATGGCAACTCCTGCTTTTTTCTGCTCTCCATTTTCTTGGTAAATATTCCTCCATCTCTTTATTTTGACCCTATGTGTGTCTTTGCACATGAGATGGGTCTCTTGAATACAGCACACCAATGGGTCTTGACTCTTTATCCAGTTTTTGAGTCTGTCTTTTAATTGGGGTGTTTAGCTCATTTACATTTAAGGTTAATATTGTTATGTGTGAATTTGATCCTCTCATCATGAAGCTAGCTGGTTATTTTGCACACTAGTTGATGTCATTTCTTCATAGTATCATTGGTTTTTATATCTTCATGTGTTTTGCAATGGCTGGTACCAGTTTTTCCTTTCCATATTTAGCTCCTCCTTCAGGAGTTCTTGCAAGGAAGATCTTGTGGTGATGAATTCCCTCAGTATTTGCTTGTCTGAAAAGGATTTTATTTCTCTTTCACTTACGAAGCTTAGTTTGGCTGGATATGAAATTCTGGGTTGAAAATTCTTTTCTTTAAAAATGTTGAATATTGGTCCCCACTTTCTTCTGGCTTGTAAGGTTTCTGCTGAGACATCCACTGTTAGTCTGATGGGCTTCCCTTTGTAGGTGACCTGGCCTTTCTCTCTGGCTGCCCTTAATATTTTTTTCCTTCATTTTGACATTGGAGAACCTGATAATTACATGTCTTGGGCTTGATTTTCTTGTAGAGTATCTTAATGGGGTTCTCTGTTTTTCCTGAATTTGAATGTTGGCCTTCTTGCTAGGCTGGAAGTGCTTCTGGTTAATATTTTAAAGTGTGTTTTCCAGCTTGGTTCCATTATCCCTGTCTCTTTCAGGTACTCCAATCAGTCGTAGGCTTGGTCTTTTTACATAGTCCCATATTTCTTGAAGGTTTTCTTCATTCCTTTTCATTCTTCTCTAATCTTTTCTACCTGCCTTATTTCAGCAATATAGTCTTCCATCTCTGATATTCTTTCTTCTGCTTGCTTGATTTGGCTATTGATACCTGTGTATGCTTCATGAAGTGCTCATGCTGTGTTTTTCAGCTCCATCAGGCCATTTATGTTTCTCTCTAAACTAGTTATTCTAGTTAACAGCTCCTCTAACCTTTTATCAAGGTTCTTAGCTTCTTTGAATTGGGTTAGAGCATGCTGCTTACCTCAGTGAAGTTTGTTATTACCCACCTTCTGAAGCCTACTTCTGTCAATTAGTCCATCTCACCCTCTGTCCAGTTCTGGAGCCTTGCTGGAGAGGTGCTGTGATCATCTGGAGGAGACAAGCCACTCTGACCTTTTGGTTTTCAATGTTCTTTTATTGATTCTTTCTCATCTTCAAGAATTTGTCTAGTTTCGATCTTTGAGGCTGTCCTCAGATGACACTTGGATGAGGTTTTTGCGGAGACGTTTTTTGTTGATGATGCTGCTGTTGTTGTTTTGTGTTTGTTTTTGTTGTTGTTGTTGTTGTTGTTTCTTTCAATAGTCAGGTCTCTCTTCTCTAAGGCTGCTGCAGTTTTCTGGGGTTTCACTTCAGGCCCTATTCATCTGGTTTGCTCCCATACCTAGAGATGTCACTCGAAGAGGCTGGAGAACAGCAAAAATGGTTACCTGCTCCTTTCTCTGGGATCCCTGACCTCGAGGGGCACTGACCTAATGCCAGTAGGAACACCCTTGTATGAGTTGTCTGACAATCCCTGTTGGGGGGGTCTCACCCAGTTGAGTGGCATGGGAAGCAGGGCCTATTTAATGAGGCACTTTGGCTGTCCCTTGGTGGAAAGAGTGTGCTGTGCTGGGGGAAAACCCACTCATCTGGGCTGCCCAGATTCCTCAGATCTAGCAGGAGAAAAGACTAACTCTGCTGGTCCATGGAGCATATGGCCACCTTTCCCCAAGGCGGCTCAGGCCCAGAGAGATCATAGTTCTGTCCCTAAGCCCCTGACTGGAGTTGGAGTTCCTGCAGGGACGCACTGCAGCCACAGTGTTGGCTCCCACCCCTCCCCCAAGGAGCTCAGATGGCTTAGACTGCAGGCAGCCACAGCAGTGTTCCCCATGGGAACTCAGGCTTAGGCTGATCCTAGCCTAGAAGATGTTGATAATCTGCATGGCTCCATGGTTGGGACCCAAGGCTCCAGTGGCATGGGCTCCCAAGTGGGATTTTCCAATCCATGGGTTGCACATTTCCATGGAAAGAGCATGGTTTCCCAGGCTGGGTATCATGCTCACTCGCTGCCTCCCTTGGCTGGGAGTGGGGGCTCCCCTGCCCTGTATGGCTCTCTGATGGGCTGCTGCACCACACTCTTCTTCCTTTTTCTCCATGGGTCATACCAGTCACCTAGTCAGTCCTAATAACAGGATCTGGATACCTCAGTTACCAGTGCAGGATTTGCATGCTCTTTTGGATCTTTTCGATGAGAGCCTCTGATTGCCACTGCTTCTAGTCAGCCATCTTGGCCCCGACTCCCACCCACCAATAACGAGCTTTGAAATTGAATCACTAATAAAAAACCTACCTATCAGAAAAAGACCTGGACCAGACAGATTCACAGCTGAATTCTACCAGACATACAAAGACAAGGCAGTACAAATCCCATCAAAATTATTCCAGACAACTGAGGAGGTGGAGCAACTTCCTAACTTATTCTATGAAGCCAGCATTATTCTGATACCAAAACCTGGCAGAGACACAACAAAAAAGAAAATTTCAGGCCGATATCTCTAAGGAACATAGATGCAAGACTCCTCAATAAAATACTAGCAAACAAAATCCACCAGCAAATCAAAAAGTTAATTCACCACAATTGAGTAGGCTTTATTCCAGGGATGCAAGGTTGGCTCAACATATGCAAATCAATAAAGGGGATTCACCACATAAACATAATTAAAAACAAAAATCATGTTGCCATCTTAATAGACACAGAAAAGAATTTCAATAAAATTCAACCATTCCTCTATGTTAAAAACTTTCAACAAATTACACATTAAAGGAAAATACCTCAAAATAGTAAGAGCCATCTATGACAAACTCACAGCCAACATCATACTGAAGTGGCAAAAGCTGGAAGCATTCCTTTTAATTACTGGAACAAGTCAGGGATGCCCACTCTCACCACTCTTATCCAACACAGTACTAGAAATCCTAGCCAGAGCAATCAGGTAAGACAAAGAAATTAAAGGCATCCAAATAGAAATAGAGAAAGTTCAACTATCTCTCTTTGCAGGCAACATGATTCTGTACCTAAACCCTAAAGACTCCGCCAAGGGCTCCTAGAACAGATAAACAACATAAGTAAAATTTTAGGATACAAAATTAATGTACAAAAATCAGTAGTATTTTGATATGCCAATAGTATTCAAGCTGAGAGTAAAATCAAGAAGGCAATCTCATTTACAATACTCACAAAGAGAAAAAAATATCTCTAGGACTACAGCTAACTAGAATGGACAAAGTTCTCTACAGTAAGAACTACAAAACATTACAAAAAGAAATCAGAGATGGCACAAACAAATGGAAAAACTTTCCATGATCATGGATAGGAATAATCAATATTGTTAAAATGACGATACTGCCCAAAATGACTTGCACATTCAGTAGTATTCCTGTCAAACTACAAGTGTTATGTTTCACAGAATTAGAAAGAAATTATTCTAAAATTAATGTGGAACAAAAAAAAAGGCCTGAATAGCCAAAGCAATCCTAAGCAAAAGGAACAAAGCCAGAAGTGTCACAGTACCCAACTTTAAACTATATTGCAAGGCTACAGTAATCAAAACACCATGGTACTGGTACAAAAACAGATAGGTAGACCAATGGAAACGGTTAGAGGATCCAGAAATAAAGCCACAAACCTATGACTATCTGATATTTGACAAAGTCAACAATAACAGACAATGGTGAAAGGACTCCCTATTCAATAAACAGTGCTGAGATAACTGACTAGACATATGCACAATATTGAAACTGGTCCCCTTCCATTTGCCATATACAAAAATTAACTCAAGATGGGTTAAAATATTAAATTCAGGACCTAAAACCACAAAAATATGAGAAGAAAACCTAGGAAATACTATTGTGGACATCAGCTTTGGGAAATAATTTATGACTAAGTCCTCAAAAGCAATTGCAGCAAAAACCAAAAATTGGCAAGTGGGACCTAATTAAACTAAAGAGCTTCTGCATAGCTAAAGTAACTAAAGAGTAAACAACCTACATAATGGGAGAAAATATTCACAAATTATGCATCTGACAATGGTGTAATATACAAAATCTGTAAGGAACCTAAACAATTCACAGGCAAAAAATAACCCCATTTAAATTGGGCAAGGGATATGAACAGACGCTTCTTGAAATAAGACATACATGTGGCCAATAAATATATAAAAAATGCTTAACATCGCTAATCATTAGAGAAATGCTACTCAAAACCACAATGAGATACTATCTCCCACCAGTCAGAATGGTTATTATTCAAATGTCAAAAGATAACAGATGTTGGTAAGGTTCCAGAGAATAGGGAACACTCATACACTGTTGTTGGGAATTTAAATTAGTTCAGCCACAGTGGAAAGCAATTTAAAAATCTTTCAAAGAACTGAGAGTTACCATTCGACCCAGCAATCCCATTGCTATGTATATACCCAAAGAGAAATAAATCATTCTACCAAAAAGACACATGTACTTACATGTTCATTGCAACATAGCAATGACATGGAATCACAACAGCAAAGAAATGGAATCAATCTAGGTGCCCATCAATGGTGGATTGAATAAAGAAAATGTGTACATATGCACCATGGAATGCTACGCAGCCATAAAAGAAAAATGAAATCATGCCCTTTGCATGGATGCAGCTGGAGGCCATTATCTTAGTGAATTAATGCAGGAACAGAAAACCAAATACCACATGTTCTCATTTATAAGTAGTAACTGAACTTTGGGTACACAAGGACATAAGGATGGGCACAACACAAAGTGGGGACTATTAGAGGAGGGATGTCAGGAAGTGGGAGAAGATTGAAAAACTATCAGGTACTATGTTCACTACCTGGATGATGGGATCATTCATACACCAAACATCAGTGGCACACTATTTACCAACATAACCAAACCTGCACATGTGCCCCTCGGACCTAAAATAATAGATAAAAAGAAATAACCATTGCATTTAGAAACATGAAAGTTACCAAAAATTTAACAAAGAGCATATCTAATGGAATTGTAGAGGCATTAAGGCCAATGCAAGTGTAGTGAGCCTGAATTAAGTGGAGATGTTAATGAATTATGTGAGAATAATTTTCTCCAGCCTTGTTCAACTCTAAAAACTCAGGCAGAAATAAGGGATTTTGATTCCACTTGTATGAAATGTAGTGAAAATGCAAGTTTATAGAGACAGAACATAAATTAATTGTTGCCTGGGGCTATGGTTGGAAACAGGGATTATCTGTAAATTGACAAGAGAGATTTTATGGGGTGATGATGAAAATGGCCTAAAGTGATTTATGATGATGGCCACAGCACAAGTTGTTAAAAATATTGAATTGTACAGTTGAAGTAGGTAAATTTTAGGATATGTAAAACATATCTCAATAAAGTTATTTAAAGACCCATAGATGTATTACATCTATAAAAACACATGCCAGAAGTTGCATTTTCCACCACCAACCCCTTGTTTTGCAGCAAGTTAGATTTCACATCAAATGTACTTAATACAGAACTTGAAGTTCTTGGATTCAATTGCTTATGCTCAACTCGAAATTTATAATGGTGTAGCTTATTTGTTAGCTTCAAAATAACAAACTAGAAAACTAAAATGCAAGGGTTTCATGGATCTAGAACTCTAGACCTAATGAATCTTATATTGAAAAATGGATTTATACAACAAATCTACATTTTAGTACATTCCTGATTTTAGGTAACATAAAGGGTTTTTAAAAAAAGATGTATCTAAACTTTACGGGAAAATAGTATCTTACTATTTGTTATAAATTAGCCCCTAATACCTACTGCACATTCTGAACAACCCTCCTGCTCAGGTCTCACATGGCCTGGCTCCATGCCTTAACGAATGTGTAATCAAGCCTTTATCGTGAAGTGCTTGCACCATGAATCGTCATACTTTTCTCATGCCAGGGTTGCACATGTCCATTCATAGTTACAGTGCAATAATCCCAAATAGATCATTTGGGTTCCACCTATACTCTCTGCTGCCTCCATTGGGTAAAACACCCTTACCTCATCCTGCTGATTAGAGTCAATTTTCCTTAACAGTACAGTGATTGTTCTTTGTTTTGTTTGTTTGTTCATTTGTTTGTTATTTGATCCCTGGACACAGGATTCTAACATGCTCTGCAGCATCTACAATCCCTGTGGAAATGCAAAACTGGGCCATTCTGCAAACCCAATGAGCCCAGTAGAAGTGGGTTTTGTAAAGTCAATATCCTCAGAGGCATACATCCAGAAGTCCTCTTTCCAGTTCTCAGGATTCCAAATTTTCCCTACAATGTTGAAACCTTAGCACAACAAAGCTCTTTTGGCTGAGTGTTTAGATTCTCTAGAGCTTGCTACTGCAGCAAACAGAACTCCCACCTGCCATTCTCCTATCTGCTGTCTAACTATGACTGATTAAGGCCTCTTTGTAAGCTACCACTGAGATTCTCTGGGTCTCAATCATAGCCAGTAATTGCTTGTTAACAGCCTTCAATCTCTCATTATCCTTGTGCATGGCATCAATAATCAATGAAACTTAGCGGCAACCAGCTAAAGCCACTGACTTTTTTATTTATTTATCTATTTATTTATTTTTGAAACAGAGTTTCCCTCTGTCACCCAGGCTGGAGTGCAGTGGTGTGATATCGGCTCACTGCAACCTTCACTTCCCGGTTTCAAGCAATTCTCATGACTCAGCCTCCCGAGTAGCTGGGAATACAGGCGGCCGCAATCACGCCCAGCTAATTTTTGTATTTTTAGTAGAGACAGTGTTTCACTACATTGGCCAGGCTGTTCTCGAACTCCTGGCCTCAGGTGATCTGCCCACCTCGGCCTCCCAAAGTGCTGGGATTACAGGAGTGAGTCACCGCACCTGGCCAAACTTCACTGACTTTAAATGTCTGCTTTATTGCATCTGTCAAATTTGTCTCTATTGGAACATTTTTCTCAGTTGCCAAAAAATTTTTAGAATTCTACTGTCACCTCATGGCAGGGACTATCTGTGCCCCACCTCCCAACCAGGATCATGTCCTCTGTCAGTTGCAGGGTTAGTTAAGCCAAGACAAATTCACATCTTACCCCCTGTATACTTATAATAGTCTCATTATCACTTGTTTTAGTTTGGATCTTCCGAGAAATAGACACCAAGACAGTATTAAATGTTCCAGAATTTTATCAGGAGAAACAGCCCTTGCAAAAAAAGAAAAAAAGGAAAGAAAGATGAAAAGCCTGAGAAAGCTGCCAGACACTGAAGTAAAAAAGAGAAGGAGAGAAAGCTGGATGGAAGCTGTCTTGGCTTTATGCAGCTTAAAGAAGGCCCATGCACTGCCAGGAAGTTTTCACAAAGCTGTTGGAGAGTCCTCAAGCTAGATCCACTGTCAGGGGAATCTCAGGTCTCCTAGGAATGCCTTCCTTAGGATCTCCATCATTTTCCATCAGTGGTTGGGAGCACACCATGGGAAGTGTGGACTTCACAAAAATGCACTGATGCATTTCAGCCTGCAGCTGCTCAGACCGTTTATTGTTTATGCTCCTTGTAGTGGGAGATCTCCAAGTGGCACTCCCATGGTGCCACCCATACCACTCAGATTATGCAAAAGCAGGCATCTTTATCTTGCTTCTGATCTTAGAGAAAAATCTTACAAACTTTCACCATTGACGATTATGTTAACTACGGGTTTTTCGTCTATGGCTTTTATCATATGAAGGCATTTTTCTTTTATTCCCAGTTAGTTTAGTGTTTGTGAATGCTTTTCCGAATCAATTGATATGCATACCTGCTTCCAGAATTTCCAGGCTTTAAAAATGGCTCTAGTCTTTGTCAGCGCAGTGACAACGCTGTTCCAACATTGATGTAACTCAGAGATTTATTTGACATCCAACCTGAAAACTAGCAAACTGAGTCTACAGGAACTTGTTTCATCCATCCTAGATAACAAGGGTACTTCAATAAGGAGGAAAGGAGTTGGGATGCATTTGCCAAATAAATGATCACAGTCCTGTCACAGAGTGATTTAGAAGATGTTCATTCCAATATGGGAACTACGACATGCCTATACCTAGTCACAGATGGTACAACCTTCATAGTTTCTATTTCACAGTGTGAGAGGGAAGTAGCACTCACCAAATATTCTATAGGTTATCTTGATGTTTTCCAGCCTCCTTTGCAGTTAGGACTATGTGACTAGATTGGGTCAATGGACCATGAGAATAAACTACTTGTTGTATCACTGCTGGTTAGAGGCAGTTAGTGAGCAGATTATGAGTTTTTCACACTTCCTTCCATTTTGTTGGCAACTGTGGGATCTTGTGGTGAGAATATGGAGCCACAAGACTAAAGAAGCCTGGATATCTAGTTATCACATAGAGGACAGACTCTACTGCCCAGGAAAATTGTTGGACCCACCTAAGATGATATATGATAACCAACATCAGATGGATTTTAAATTGTTGGAAATTCTAAAATGTTAGGATGGCTCATCTCAATTATCCTGGGTAAGAGCATCCTCCGAAACTTGTCTTTGTTCTTAACTATAATTCTGGTGAAGCAGGCAAGTTTATAGGTTTCCCTTTGGTGGTCCACACAGATGTCCTGCATGATGTGTGCTATATCTGTTTAAGTAGGCTTCTTCCTTTGCCCTGGAATTCAAAAAATGAATTTGCTCATGGAATCAACCTAAGTGTCCATCAATGGTGGACTGAATACATACGCACACACCATGGAATACTTTACAGTCAAAAAATGAAATCACGTCCTTTGCAGCAACATGGATGGAGCTTGAAGCCATTATCCTTAGTGAAATAACTCAGAAATAGAAAATCAAATACTGCATGTTCTTACCTATAAGTGGGTCCTAAACCATGGGTACATGTGAACACAAAAACAGAAATAATAGACACTGGAGACTCCAAAAGCAAGGACAGTGGAGGTGAATGAGGGTTGAAAAACTATTTGTTGGGTACAATGTTCACTATTTAGGTGGTAGGTTCACTAGAAGCCCAAACCTCACCATTACACAATGTATGCATGTAATGAACCTGCACATCCGCACACTGAATCTAAAAGGAAAAAAATATAAAGTTGCATAAAATACTCATGGAGAATTGGTCATCTGTGTTCAGTTCATCATGAACCTACTCTCAAGTTCATTAGGCATAAGAATTCGGTTAAAATATTGAGCTTTATATTTGTATATTTGAATCATTAGTCAATACAAATATTTGTACCCAAAGAATAACTGATGTTATCAGAGAAATGTCCTACTGAATAAGAATCTTTAGAATTGGTGCTATGCAATGAGTATTTGGAAAATCTCTCCAAGTAGAATAATCTACACACTTAGTTATGAACTACTGGTATGAAGTGAAAAGAGATAGAAGTCAAGAGTGAGTAAACATTAATAAACAAATAAGTGGATGGTAATAAAGCAAAGTGAGAAAAAACTCTTGGAGAGATTAGACATAGGGCTAAAAATCAAAACAGATAAAAACATTTTAGAAATGAAAGGAGTAAGTTAAAAAAAGAAAATCAAATATCAATTTAAAAAGCAAAAAAAAAAGAGGAATAGGAATTCATAAATTTAACACTGTAGAGGTAAGTGATGAGTTTTCCAGAGTAATTTCAGAAAAAAATTAAGGGACCAAAATCGTCACTGGCTTTTGACACAGTTTGTATGGAGTTCTGAGTAACAGGAAAGTTTTTTTCCAGGGAGCAAAATATTTTCTTTTTGCAGCACCTTCATACTTGTAGCACCTATCTCTCTCTTCAGATCTAAAAGCAAAAGTCACTTTTTTCAAGAAATTTCTACTCCATCTTCAAATATTTCTTCACCCCTCCACTTCTTTCTACAATTTCAGGGTAGATGTCAGGAAAAGTAGAAATGCTATTTTATAGAATGTCCCAAACTCACACTGGCCCAGAGCCATGAGAATATTTCACTTACCTTAGGTTTTCATAAACTTGGTATATTTAATCATAGCAATTGGTAAATGTTTGCCTTACGTACTGTTCCTCTTCTCAGACCTACCAGCTCATCGGTATTTGAATAGCTCTAAGGGTAAGGTCCTTGGACCACAGACTTGGTAGCCTTGTCATTTTTGGTGGTGCAACTCTAGTTATCTCTTAGCAGCTTTTCCACCCTCCATAACAGAGAGCAGGTCTGAAATTTACCTTTTGGAACTCTGACAGATGTTGCTCTTAGGCTCACTCCAAACTATGTCAAATGTCCTAGGGACCCAGAAAATTAAGTATTCTTTTTTTGTATTATTCATTTTTATTATTTATAATCTATACACAATAATTGTACATGTTTATGGGGTACAGTGTGATTCTCCATTGCATGTAAACGTTGAATAAAATGATTAAATCAGGGTAATTACTGTACCTATCACTTTAAATGTTTATCACTTCTTTGTGGTGGTAAAATTCATAGTCTTCTCTTCCAGCTATCTTGAAATATACATTTTTATTTTCTATAGTCACCCTACAGTGTAGTAGAACACTATAACTTCCTATCTAATTGTAACATTGTACTCGTTTACCAATGTATCTTGGTACCTGATATGGTTTGGCTGTGTCCCACCCAAATCTCAACTTGAATTGTATCTCTCAGAATTCTCATGTGTTGTGGGAGGGACCCAGTGGGGAGGTAATTGAATAATGGGGGCTGGTCTTTCCTGTGCTATTCTCATGATAGTGAATAAGTCTCATGAGGTCTAATGGGTTTATCAGGGGTTTCTACTTTTGCTTCTTCCTCATTTTCTCTTGCCACCGCCATGTAAGAATTGCCTTTCGCCTTCTGCCATGATTCTGAGGCCTCCCCAGCCATGTGGAACTGTAAGTCCAATTAAACCTCTTTTTCTTCCCAGTCTCAGGTATGTCTTCATCAGCAGTGTGTAAACGGACTAATACAGTAAATTGGTACCAGGAGTGGGGTATTGCTGAAAGATACCTGAAAATGTGGAAGCAACTTTAGAACCAGCAGAGATTGGAACAGTTTGGAAAGCTCAGAAGAAGACAGGAAAATGTGGGAAAGTTTGGAACCTCCTAGAGACTTGTTGAATGGCTTTGACAAAAATGCTGATAGTGATATGAACAATAAGGTCCAGGTTGAGGTGATCTTGGATGGAGATGAGAAATGTGTTGGGAACTGGAGCAAAGATGACTTTTGTTATGTTTTAGCAAAGAGACTGGTGGCATTTTGTCCCTGCCCTAGAGATTTGTGGAATTTTGAACTTGAGAGAGATGATTTGGGGGTATCTAGTGGAAGAAATTTCTAAGCAGCAAACCATTCCAAAGGTGACTTGACTGCTGTTAAAAGCATTCTGTTTTAAAAGGGAAACAGATCATAAAAGTTCAGAAAATTTGCAGCCTGATGATGCAGTAGAAAAGAAAAACCCATTTTTTGAAGAGAAATTGAAGCTGACTGCAGAAATTTGCATTAGTAAGAAGCCTAATGTTAATCCCCAAGCCATGACAGAATGTCTCCAGGCCATGTCAGAGACCTTCACGGCAGCCCCTCCCATCACAGGTCTGGAGCCCCGGGAAGAAAAAGTGGTTTCATGGACTGCGCCCAGGGTCACTGTGCTGTGTGCAGCCTAGGGACATGGTGCCCTGTGCCCCAGCTGCTCTAGCCATGGCTGAAAGGGGCCAACATAGAGCTCGGGCTGTGGCTTCAGAGGGTGGAAGCACCAAGTCTTGGCAGCTTCCATGTGGTGCTGAGCATGCAGGTGCACAGAAGTCAATAATTGAGGTTTGGGACCCTCCACTTAGATTTCAAAAGATGTATGGAAACACTGGATGCTCAGGAAAAAGTTTGCTGCAGGGTTAGGGAACCTCTGCTAGGACAGTGTGGAAGGGAAATGTGGGGTCAGAGCCCGTACACAGAGTCCCTACTGGGGCACTGCCTAGTGGAGCTATGAGAAGAGGTCCACCGTCCTCCAGACCCCAGAATGGTAGATCCACCAACAGCTTGTACCATGCACCTGGAAAAGCCACAGGCACTCAATGCCAGCCCATGAAAGTAGCCAGGAGGGAGGCTATACCCTGCAAAGCCATAAGGGTGGAGCTGCCCAAGACCATGGGAGCCCACCTCTTGCAACAGTGTGACCTGGATGTGAGACCTGGGGTCAAAGAGATCATTTTGGAGCTTTAAAATGTGACTGCCCTGCTGGATTTCAAACTTACATGGGCCCTGTAACCCCTTTGTTTTGGCCAATTTCTCCCATTTGGAATGGCTGTATTTACCCAATGCCTGTACCTCCATTGTATCTAGGAAGTAACTAGCTTGCTTTTGATTTTACAGGCTCATAGGCAGAAGTGACTTGCCTTGTCTCAAATGAAACTTTGGGCTGTGGACTTCTGAGTTAATGCTGAAATGAGTTAAGACTTTGGGGGACTGTTGGGAAGGCATGATTGGTTTTGAAATGTGAAGACATGAGATTTGGGAGGGACCAGGGGTGGAATGATGTGGTTTGGCTGTGTCCCTACTCAGATCTCAACTTGAATTGTATCTCCCAGAATTCCCACATGTTGTGGGAGGGACCCAGGGAAAGGTAATTGAATCATGGAGGCTGGTCTTTCCCATGCTATTCTCGTGATAGTGAATAAGTCTCCTGAGATCTGATGGGTTTATCAGGGGCTTCCACTTTTGTTTCTTCCTCATTTTCTCTCTCTGCTGCCATGTAAGAAGTGCCTTTTGCCTCCTGCCATGATTCTGAGGCCTCCCCAGCCATGTGGAACTGTAAGTCCAATTAAAACTCTTTCTCTTCCCAGTCTTGGGTATGTCTTTAACAGCAACATGAAAATGGACTAATACAGTACCCTCACCTCAAAACTCTAGTAATCACTATTCTACTTAACTTCTATGAAATCAACTTTGTTGATCCCACGTGAGTTGAGATCATTTGTGTCTCACTGCCTGGCTTATTTCACTTAACAATGCCCTCCAGCTTCATCCACGTCGCTGCAAATGACAGAATTTCATTGTTTCATATGGCTGAAGAATATTTTGTTTTGTATATATATCACATTTTTAAATCCATTAATCAGTAGATAGGCTTTTACGTTGATTTCATATATTGGCTATTGTTAATAATGCTACAATAAACAAGCGATGGTATAAATCTCTTCAACATAAAGTTTCATTTCCTTTGGATATACACCCAGTAATGGGATTGCAGGCTCACATGGTAGTTCTATTTTTAGTTTTTTGAGACATCCCCTTACTGTTTTCCATAATGGTTGTACTAATTTACATTCCCATTAACAGTGCAAAAGAGTTCCCCTTTCTTTACATTCTCATCAGCATTCACTTTTTTTTTTTTTGTATTCATAGCCATGAAGCCAATCCAAGAGTCCCATGGACAGTTTTGTTTTCATTTGTTTGTTTTTGATAAACATAGAAATTGACCCTTCTGGTGTTAAAGCTTGACACTTACATTCATTTTATCTGAGTTCCTTCCTCAGGAAAGGATTCCCAGGCCTCTCAGAAGGTATCAAAAAACTGAAACTCACCAGATCATCACATTCAGACAATAATTCATTCTCTCATTCATCACGATTGCTTCTTTAATTTATTTGTTTTTTTGTTTGTTTGCTTTGTTTTGTTTTATTTTTCAGACAGAATCTCTATCATCCATGCTGGAGTGCAATGGTGCGATCTCAGCTCACTGCAACCTCCCCTTCCTGGGTTCAAGTGATTCTCCTGCCCCAATCTCTTGAGTAGCTGGGACTACAGGCATCCACCACCAAGCCTGGCTAATTTTTGTATTTCTAGTAGAGACAGGGTTTCTCCATGATGGCCAGGCTGGTCTTCAACTCCTGACCTTTGGATGATTCACCCACCTCTGCCTCCCAAAGTGCTGGGATTACAAGCGTGAGCCACCACACCCAGCCCATGATTGCTTCTTTACCCCTCCTGAGTTCCTGTTTTCCCACACATAGTTACATATTTCTTCCCTACTATGTAAATCTCTAATTTGATCAGGGAGATGAATTTGGACTTGGCTGCAGCACCCAATTAAAGCCATCTTCCCTGGCAATACTTATTGGCTTTCTGTGCAGTGAGCAGCAGAACCAAGACCAAACCCCTGGTGTTTTGATAAGAGCCATTCTAACTGAGGTGAAATAGTATCTCACTATTACTTTGAATTTTACTGATGATTAGTGATGTTGACCATTTTTTCATGTACATCTTGGCCATTTTATTTTTAAATTTTTTTGGATACATAGTAGGTGTAGATATTTATGAGGTACATGAGATATTTTGATACAGGTGTGCAATGAGTAATAATCACATCATGCAGAATGGTATCTATTCCCTCAATTTTTCCTTTGTGTTACAAAGAATCCAACTGTATTTTTAGTTATTTAAAAATGTACAAGTATATTATTATAGTCACCTTGTTGTGCTAGCAAATAGTAGGTCTTATTCATTCTTCCTATGAATGAGTAAAATTCCATGAATGAACAAGAATATCTCCCCTCCAGAACCCTCACCCTCATTGCCACTACCATTCCGAGCCTCTGGTAACCATCCTTCTACTCTCTATCTCCATGAGTTCAATTGTTTTGATTTTTAGATACCACTAACAAGTGACAATATTTGATGTCTGTCTTTCTGTGCCTGGCTTATTTCACTTAACATAATGATCGGCAGTGTACCACATTTTCTGTATCCATTCTTTTGTTGATGGATGCTTAGGTTGTTTCCAATTTTTTGGCTATTGTGAACAGTGCTGCAACAAACATGGGAGTGCATATATCTCTTCAATATACTGATCTTTTTCTTTTTCTTTTTCTTTTCTTTCCTTTTTTTTTTTGAGACAGAGTTTCACTCTTGTTGCCCAGGCTGAAGTGCAATGGTGCAATCTCGGCTCAGTGCAACCTCCGCCTCCTAGGTTCAAGCGATTCTTCTGCCCCAACTTCCCAAGTAGCTGGGATTACAGGTGCCCACTACCATGCCAGACTAATATTTGTATTTTTAGTAGAGATGGGGTTTCACCATGTTGGCCAGGCTGGTCTCGAATTCCTGACCTCAGGTGATCCAACTGTCTCAGCCTCCCAAAGTGCTGGGATTAGAGGCATGAGCCACTGCACCTGGCCTGATTTTGTTTCTTTTGGGTATATGCCCAGCAGTGGTACTGCTAGATCATATGGTACCCCAAGTTTTAGATTTTGAGGAACCTGCAAACTGTTATTCATACTGGTTGTACTAATTTATGTTCCCACTAATAGTGTACAAGGGTTCCTTTTTCTCCACTTTCTCACCAGCATATGTTATTCCTTATCTTTTTTATATAAGCTATTTTAACTGGGGTGAGATGATATCTCATGGTAGTTTCTATTTGCATTTTTCTGACAATCAATTATGTTGAGCACATTTTCATATGCCTGTATGTCTCTTGGCCATTACTTCTTCTTTTGAGAAATGTCTATTCAGGTCGTTTGCCCATTTTTAAATTGGATTACTTGGTTTGTTTTGCTACTGAATTGTTTGAGTTCCTTATATATTCTGGGTATTAATCCCTTGTCAGAAGTATATTTTGCAAATACTTTTTCTTAACCTATAGATTGTCTTTTCACACTATTGATTTCCTTTGTTGTGCAGAAGTATTTTACTTTGATGTAATCCCATTTGTCTATTTTTACTTTTATTGCCTGTTCTTCTGAGGTCTTATTGAAAAAAATCCTTGCCTAGTCCAATTTTATAAAGTATTTCCCCTATAGTCTTCTAGTAGTTTCATAGTTTGGGGTCTTAAATTTAAGTCTTTAATTTATTTTGAGTTAAGTTTGGGTATATGGTGAGAGATAGTGCCCTGGTTTTACTGTTCTGCATGTGGATAGCCAGTTTTGCCAGCACCACTTACTGAGGAGACAAAGACAGTTCTTCTCCCAATGTGTGTTTTGCTACCTTTGATGAAAATTAGCTGGCCCTAAATACATGGATTTATTTCTCTATTTGATTCCATTGTTCTATGTGACTGTTTTTATGCCAGTGCCATGCTGTTTTCATTATTATACTTTTGTAGCATATTTTGAAGTGGGTACTGTGATGCCTCCAGCTTCGTTCTTTTTGCTCAAGATGGCTTTGGCTACTAGAGTCTTTTCCATTTCCGTATGGATTTTAAGATTGTTTTTTCTATTTCTGGGAAGAATTTCACTGGTATTTTGATAGAGATTTCATTGAATCTGAAGATTGCTTTGGATAAACATGGACATTTTGACAATATTAATTCTTCTGATCCATGAACATGGAATTTTTTACTTGTGTCCTCTTCAACTTCTTTTACAATCTTTTATATTTTTCATTGTAGAGCTCTTTCACCTTCTTGGTTTATTCCTAGATATTTAAAATTTTATAGCTATTGTAAATTAATTTGCTTCTTGATTTCTTTTTCATCTAGTTTACTATTGGTATATAGAAATGCTACTGATTTTTGTATGTTAATTTTGCATTCTGCAACTTTACTATCTTGATTTATTTTTTCTAACAATTTTTTTGGTGAAGTCTTCAGGATTTTCTATATATATGATTATGTCATCGGCAAACAGGGATACTTTGACTTCTTCCTTTCCTATTTATATGCCTTTTATTTTCTTTCTCTTGCCTAATTGCTCTGGCTAGTACTTCCAATAGTATGTTGAATAAAAGTGGTAGAAGTGAGAAGCTTGCCTTGTTCCAGATCGTACAAGAAAAGCTTTCAGCTTTTCCTCATTCAGTATGATGTTAACTGTGGGGTTTAATTTTTAACACATGGCCTTTATTGTGTTTAGTTATATTCTTTCTATACCCAATTTTTTGATACCAATTGGGTAATCATATTCAGAAAGAGTTGGAGATAGATTTGAGCCATGATAGAAAAGTAGCTTCAACAAGCTATTGAAAACAAAAATAGAAAAAAGGTGAACTACCCCCAAGAACAGTGGTTTGCTAGCAATTATTATACAGCTATTTCTGTGATGTGAGGGAGAGGAAGTCCACATTGATAGGTTTATCAGTCTCAGCAAAGGCTAATTTCAAGCTACCATTTGATATTTCTAGAAGAGTTGGTAATACATGCAAGTCATACATTACCATAATATACTAATTCCACCATAAAGATGCAATAATTATAACCTAAAAAGCAAAGATAAAAATACAACAAAATAATGAATAAATGGTGTCTTTCAAGTATTGATTTTTAATTTATTTAGATTTAAGTAATGTTTTTAATAGTGGCTGTTTAACAACTGACTTGCAAATATTCTGAAATTTTAACTGGTGAGCTCTGGTGAGATAGTATGAAATGGCTCTAGCACACCACTGCCAAGGGAACTTGTGAACAGCGAGATGATTCAGGCTCAATGGGGCCTGACCATATAAAATTTGATAAACTCTAAGAATACAAAGTTAGCTTCATGACTTTGAAGAGAATCTGTGCAACTAAGTTGCTCTTAAGTTTTTGCTTCCTTAGCTTTATGGTAAATCTACTTTTGGCAAACAGGTATTTTAACACACTAAAGTGGCTTTACAGCTTTCATAAATGAGCAGGAGTAAGAAGACAGGGATTGGACTCAGATACCATCTGCATAAATGTCACTGTAACCAGTCACAGAATACCTAGACGCTAGGAACTCTGAAGGAAAGGGGATAGGTCAGACTTGAGGGAGATTCTGGTCAACCTAAGAAGCAGAAGGGAAAACAGATACTCTCTGCTGTGAGGCTGACTGGCAGTCCCTCTTGCCTTTATGAGATGAGGGTCTTAGGCTCCTTTCACCTGATTCAGAGCATCTTATGGATCCAAATTTGATAGGGTAGAATTTGGACTGCAAATACAGAGAATTCAATGGACGTAAGTCATGAGATTCAGGCCAGATGATTTATTTCATAGTTTAAAACCCTCAGCAGTGACAAGAGCAATGAGAGAGAAATTGTGTCTTGTTCCTCCTTGGTTTGGGCCAGTTTCTGATAATGTATTTGTTACTCTCCTCTCTCCAAGCAGTAGCATTCAAGGTTGTTAGAGACTGGTGCTGTAGGAGAAAACAAAACAAACGCCAATGTTGCTCATTTTTCTTTCTTGTAGCTAACACATTTCTAACTCAAGTAATTTTAAAACTATGGGTGATTAAAAGCAAAAAATTAAGAAAATAAAAATTCCAGAAAAATATTACTTGTTACCACGACTGAAGATACTCTTAGTTTTAAAATAGAAGTGACTGGTTAAAGTACACTGGTTTTTTATCCATGTTTGGTAACTATTTACATCAATAAATAAAGTGACTTGAAAACTCCATTCTAAATATATGCAACAATTTTATTTTAAAATTGAAAGGTGGTAATTCTAAGTATCTTTTTATTAGATAACACCAACATGTACATATACACACACATGCATGCATGCACATTGGTGTGTATATCTATATAATGAAATTTTTAAAGAATGATCACCCCTGGTGCTGGGACTAATGATGATTACCATTTCATTCTTTTACTCACATATATATTTTAATCAATGTTTATTATGTGTTACTACTATAATAATAAGAATGATTCACACACTCACATGCACACATTATTTATTGAATAAGAGAAGAAAGTGATGGTAAAGTTAAGATTCATGCATTCCAAGTTCTCTGGCTAGAAAAGGATCTTAACACCATTAAAAGTTAAAATCATTCTTTAGAACTTTAAAAAATAAAACCAGTTAAATATAAATGAATTCAAAATGTTTGCTGTAAACTTTATAAAACTGAAAAAGACAAAATATTTTAGAACCAAAATAAATAATATTTAAAAGCAGAAATTTATTAACAGTAGGCTAGGTCTAAAATCTCAATTTACATAACAGAAAGATTAGTGAAGGGAGAGATTTTTTAAAGGTAAAATATGCTAAGCTTCCTTCATACTAAAGGGAGTCTCAAAATGCCTCTAATTCCAGATGTTCATATTTCGTATTTTCTACTTCTATTTCTATATTCTTTATAGAAATAGCTCATTACAAAGTGACATAGTGGAAAATTACAAAGAAAATTCAGTAAGGTAGTAAAATAAAAGAAGTAGAATTTAAGATATGCTAGGGCTCAGAAAGTATACCACTCACATATCCAAACTAGCTAATAAATTAATAAATTATGAAAGTTACAACTTGATACAAATGGACTGATAATTTAGTAATAGATATTTTAAAACAACAAAAGTCTTCATATTACACTATATTTATTCTTGATATCTTCTAGGGATTTATCTCAGGCGATAACTTGACAATTGCTCACAGATATATATACATACCAGAATGCTTATTACGGTGTATTTGTAATAACTAAAAACTGGAAGTGGCATAAATATTCACAATAATAGACTTTCAAAATGTTAAATACAGTAAGACATTCTTCTTCAAAGGGTTAACTTGTTTAAGTTTCCTAGTCCTTTGTTTCCTGCTTTCAAGACAAGACTCCCTCACTCTCTGTGTTCCCTTGCCCTGGGAAACAACCTTCCTCGAAGTCTTTATCTGTAGAGCCCACCTTCCACATCTGCTACTCACTCTGTAAATCACCCCTCCCATCACAACACCCCCTCCACCCTCCCCAACTCTCCCCGCCGCCAAAACTGTTTTCTCGCCAGTGTAACCGCATCCCTGCGGTTCCTTTTTCCCTTCTTAAGGGTATCTTATAAATGGCAAAAGTATTTATTTTAAAAAATTTGTACTATATATGGTAAGAACACAGCATGAGATCGACCATCTTACCACATTTTTAAGTGTACAATATGGTTTTGTTAATTTTAGGGACAATGTTTTTCACCAGATCTCTAGAACATTTTCATCATGCATATTTGAGACTTTATGCCCACTGACGCAACTACCCATTTGCTCCACCCCCTGGTTCCTGGAAACCACCATTCTGCTCTAATTTTGTGAGTTTGACTTTTTAGATACCTCACATAAGTGGAATTATTCAGTGTTTGTCCTCAAGGTTCATCCATGTTTTACACATTACAGGATCTTCTTTTTAAGGCTGAATAATATTCCATTAGATACATACACATACACACACACACACACACACACAGAGAGAGAGAGAGAGAGAGAGAGAAAGAGAGAGAGAGTGAGAGAGAGAGAGAGAAAGAGAGAGCGAGAGAGAGAGAGAGAGAAAGGAGGAGAGAGATGCCACATTTATTTTTATCCACTTATTTATCGATGGACATTTAGGTTGTAGCCACACTTGGCAGTTGTGAATAGTGCTTCAGTGAACATTAGAATGCTAATATCTCTTCGGTTTCCTGATTTCAATTCTTTTCCATAAATTTCAAGAAGTAGAATTGCTGGGTTATATTGTAATTGTATTTTTAATTTTTGATAACCCTCCATGTCATTTTCCATAATGGTTTCAACATTTTGCATTCCCACCAACAGTATACACAAAGATTCTAATTTCTCCACATCCTCCTCAACATTTCTCTGTTGTTGTTGTTGTTTTTAAGATCTATCCTAACAGGTGTGAGGTGAATCTCATTGCGGTTTTGATTAGCATACATTTGATAGTTAATGAAATTGAGCATCTTTTCATATGCCTATTGGCCACTTGTATGTCCTCTTTGGAGAAATGTCTATTGAAGTCTTTAGCCCATTTTTTAAATTATTAGGTATTTTGCTACAGAGTTGTAAGAGTCTTATATATTTTCTTTGGCAAAATGTCTATTCAAGTCTTCAGCTAACTTTTAATCAGGTTATTAGTTTTTTGCTATTGAGTTGAAAGAGTTCTTAATATATTTTGGGAATTAGCCCCTTAACTGATAAATGGTTTGCAAATATTTTCTCCCATTCCATTGGATTTTCAGCATTTCCTTTGCTATGAAGAAGCTTTTGAGTTTAATGTTGCCCCATATGTCTTTTTTTTATTTGTTGTCTGTGCTTTTCATGTCATATCCATGAAATCATTGCCAAGACCAATGTCATGAAGATTTTTCTCTATGTTTTCTTCTAAGAGTTTTATAATTCATATCTTACATTTAAGTCTTCAATCCATTTTGAGTTGGCCTTTGTGTATAATGGCCCAATTTCATTCTTTAGCATGAGGATATAAAGTATTCCCAACACTATTTGTTAAAGAGACTATCTTTTGTGGTTCCATACGAATTTTTGGATTATTGTTCTATTTCTGTGAAGAACGTCATTGGTATTTTGATAGCGATTGCATTGAATCTGTAGATTGCTTTGGGTTATACGGACATTTAAACAGTATTAATTCTTCCAATCCATGAGCTTGGGATATATTTCCACTTTTTTGTGTCCTCTTTAATTTCTTTTATAAGTGTTTTATTTTTATTTTTATTTTCATTTTTATTTATTTTTAAGATGGAGTCTCACTCTGTCACCCAAGCTGGAGGTTGGTGGCATGATCTCGGCCCACTGCAACCTCTGCCTCCCATGCTCAAGTTATTCTCCTGCCTTGGCCTCCCAAGTAGCTGGGATTACAGGCTTGCATCACCATGCCTGGCTAAATTTTTTTTTTTTTGGTATTTTAGTAGAGATGAGGATTTTTGCATTTTCATCAGGATGTTGGCCTGTAGTTTTTTGTTGTTATTGCTGTGTCTTTGTAAGGTTTTTGAAGGAAATGTTGGCCTTGTAGAATGATATTGGGAATATTCCCTCCTTCTCAAGGTTTTGGAATAGTTTGAGTAAAATTGGTACTAGTTCTTCGTTAAATATTTGGTAGGATACAATATTAAAGCTATCTAGTCCTGAACTTTTCTTGGATGGAAAACTTTTTATTGCAGCTACTATGTCATTATTCATTATTGATCTGTTCAGATTTTCTGTTATTCATGGTTCAATCTTGATAGGCTGAATGTGTCTAGAAATTTGTCCATTTCTTCTAGGTTTTCCAAATTATTGACACACTTTTGCTCATAATATCTCTACTTGAATGCTGCCTTTAAATTACTGAAGTGTCAATTGTAATGATTTTTCTCTGATTTGGGTTCATATAAATCGTATCTTACATTTAAGTATTCAATCCATTTTTTTCTTTTTCTTAGTCAATGTAGCAAAAGATGTGTTTATCTTTTCAAAAACAAACTTCTTGTTTCATGGACCTTTCTAATTCTCAATTTCATTTATTTCTGCTCTAGTTTTTATTATTTATTTTCTTCTACTAATGTGTGGTTTGGTTTGTCCTTGCTTTTTTTCTTGCAGTGCACCATGAGGTTGCATAACTGAAGTCTTTCTACTTTTTTGATGTCAGTATGTATAGGTATAAACTTTCCTTTTAGTACTGGTTTTGCTGCATTCCACAGACTTTGGTATGTTCTGTTTCCATTTTTGTTTCCTTCAATTTTTAAAAATATTTCTTTCTTAATTTCTCTATTGACACACTGGTCTTTCAGGAGCACATTGTTAAAGTTTCATGTATTTGTATCGTTTCCAAAGTTCCTCTTTTCATTGATTTCTAGTTTCATTCCATTGTTTTTCAAAATGATACTTGATATTATTCCATCTTTGAATGTGTTATGACTTGTTTTGTGGCTTTACATATGATCTGTCCTGGAGGATGTTCTATGTGCTGATGAAATTAACATATGTTCTGCACCAGTTACATAAAATATTCTGTAAATGTCAGTTAGGGCCATTTGATCTAGTGTTGTTTAATTCCAATAGTTCATTGATGATTTTCTGTCTGGTGATCTGACCATTGCTGAAAGTGTGGTGTTAAAAGGCCCCTACTACTATTGCATTGCAGTCTATTGATGTCTCTAGGTATTTATTCTAGTCTTCAGAGTCTGGCTTTGTTTTTACTTGCCCTTCTTCAAATGACTTTCCAAGAATTTAAAGAAGATTGAGTATTAAGTTACTCAAGTCTGTTGCCTCTACAGGCGTTTCAGTGCTAGAGGGATCTCTAAGCCCAGATATGCTGTATCTCTTGCAGACTCCTAAATACACAACTCTGATGGACTTGGAGGAAAATAGGGAGAAATTCCTCTGTTCACAGGCAAAGTCCCTTGCTCTCTTCTCTCTCTTTTCCCCAGGCAGAAGGAATCTGTCTGTGTAGTGGGCTGCCTGGAATTGGGAAAGGGAAGACACGAGCACTCCTGTGGCCATCACAGCTGGTACCCTGCTGTGTCACACCTGAAGCCTACAGCCTCCCAGATCAGCATAGTACTGGGGCTCACCTGGGGCTCATCTGAGGACCGAAGCTACCATTGCCTGACTGCCATTGATGTTTATTCAAGGCTACTTTAGTTAACTGGTGGTTCATCACACAGGTTGGACAACGGTCCATCCCACAAGGGCAGCCAGATCTCTTCTAACCAAAGTTTAGAAGACCTAGAAACACCATTTAGGAGCAATGACCTGAAATTAGGACTTTGGGATTCTGCCGTATGCTTTATTTTCCTGTGCCTGGGCTGGTACCTGGTTGCAAAATAAAGTCTATTGTACTCTTTCCCCTCCTTCTCCCAAGCAGAAAAAGTCTCTCTCCATACTACATGGTATGGAATTGGGAAAGGGGTGATGTAGGCACTCTCATGGCTGCCACAGCTAGTGTTGCGCTGGGCTGTACATCAAGCCTACAGCATCTGAGACCAGGACAGCACCAGGGCTTACCCAAGGACTGTAGTCACTATGGCCTAGCTGCCACTCAAGGTTATTTGGGGCCCCAGGCCATGTTCATCAGCCTGCAGTGAAGTAGGCTGAGACTTGGGTTCCTCGTGCTGAAGCAGTGGAGTCCCCTTGGCCCACGACTGATCTAAATGCTCGCTGTCAGCACTGGTGGAATTCTGCCTAGTGCTGTGTTCCGCTGTGACAGTGCAGCACTGAGTTTCAGTGCAAAGTTCCACACCAACTTTGCTTTCCCTCCCCCAAGAGCACAGCCTCTCTTCTGTGATATACTGCCTGGCACTGGGGGAGGGGTGATGCAGGAAATGGAACTCTGTCCTTTTGACCTCCTTCAGTGCATCCTTCCACGTTATTATGCTAACACCATGTAATGTGATTGCTTATCTGGTTTTGGGCTCCTATGAAGATGCTTTCTTAAATTGATAATTGTTTGACTTGATGTTCTTGGTAGTGCGTACAATTGCTGAAGGATTCTATTCAGCCATCATGCCTTACTAATGCCTTTTGTTAATTATCTTTTTCTGTTTAATCTTATGGTTATTTTGTCCCTCTTTTATTCTCTTGCTGTATTCCTTCATGTTTCATTTACTTTTTTATTGTATAATTCCTTTCTCTTTCACTTTTGTGTAACTTCTGTAAGTATTTTTATTACTATGCAGCTTATATTTAAAAATCTTGTAACAGTTTGTTTTGAACTGATACTATTAATCACATTTAAACACTACAGTTTTATTGTCCTCCCAATAATACACTTTTATTGTCCTCCCAATAATACACTTTTATTGTCCTCCCAATAATACTTTGTTACTGATGTCACACTTTATATTACAACTTACATTATGTGCCCATTAACATATTCTTACTTATAATTATTTTAATGCTTTTGTCTTTTGATATTATAGTAGAATTAAAAGTGATTTACCCACCACCATTACATATTCTGAGGAATATCAGCTAGATGTTAAGCTAGAGGTGCCTAATGCTCATCTCCTCCCACAAAAAGACCAAAACAACAAATAAGCTAGTTTTGACCAAAAAGACTAAGGAGAGCTCAGGTGTACATCAAGGGAGTGGCAGAAATTTTGTGAAGCATAGACACTCAGGATGGCTGCATAGAGAAGAGAAGAAAACACTTTCCCTGTGCTACCCCATCCCCACAGTCAGAATCAGATCAAAACCTGAAGGGAAGTTTTTCTGCAGGGAAAAAGGTAAGCAGTAGACCCCAACAGTTCCCATTATCACCACAGACACCACACTCTTTGCTACTGGAGAATCCTGTAGTCCTTACAGCCACTGACACCAACCTAGGGAGCTTCCTGGAGTTCACATAGCACAGGATGCAGCAAAAGTAGTTCTAAAAGAGAAGTTTGTAGCAATAAATGCCTACATTAGAAAAGATGAAAGATCCCAAGTAAATAGCCAAACATTGTGCCTCAAGGAGCTGTAAAAAGAACAAATGAAATCCAAAGTTATTGAATGAAAGGAAATAATAAAGATTAGAACTGAAATAAATCAAATAGATGACCGAGAAACAAGAAAAAAAAATCAATAAAACCAAGAGTTGATTATTTAAAAAATAAAATTGGCAAACTCCTAGATAGAGTAATTTTTAAAAAGAGAGAGAGATAATACTTAAATAAATAAATTAGAAATAAAAGTGGAGACATCACTACCAGATGCCTCAGAAATAAAAAAGTTTTAAAAAGGGTGATTATGAGGAATTATACGTCAACAAAATTGATAACTTTGAGGAAATAGATAGATTCCTAGAAAAATATCATCTGAAGATTGAATCAGGAGGAAATAGATAGCTTGAAGAATTAAAAACATTTCAGCAAATAAAAATCCCAGGACCAGATGGTTTCATAGCTGAATTCTACCAAAAATTCAGGGAAGAATTATTATCAGTATTTCTTAAATTTTTCCAAAAATTAGAGCTGAAAGGAACACTTTCTAAAACATTTTACAAGACCAGCATCACCTTGATGCCTAAGTCAGAGACACTGCCCAAAAAAATAAATAAATGAAACTACAGGCCAGTATCTCTGATGAACATTGATGCAATAATCATCAATAATACAGTAGCAAACTGAACTCAACAACACATCAAAAGTTTACACATCATAACCAGGTTGGATTTATTCCTGGCATGCAAGTCTGCTTTAACACATGCAAATCAATATGCCATATCACATTAACAGAATAAGAAAATAAAAACCTCATGATCATGTAAATTTACACACAAAGAAGTGTAGGAGGATCAGTCAGGGTGGTGGGAAAAATAGGAAAGACGCAAACCTTCTTGGAAGGCTGGGTAGTTTTGCAAAAGCTTCAGAAGAGAATTATGGCTGAAGGCAGCCAAATTCTCTTATCCAGAGGCTGAGGGCAAAGGGTAGATAACAAGGGAATGTAAAGGAACTTATCTAGATAAATTTGTTTACTGTAGGACTGCTCTATACTCAGGGGAGTGGACAATGTTAATTACCCACAAATTGTGTTTGCTCCAAGCCTTTGTCATTAAATCTGCACTGAATAAATACGAGCATCTCCAGCTTATTGGAGCTGCACTCTTGTCAGCGGTGCTAAGCTGTGCAGTTCCCTAGCTGCATTCTCAGGCAAAATACCTGTGTCTGTGTATTTCTTTCATTGGTTGCCTGGCCAGAGTCTGTGGGACAGACTCATCAAAAAAGCTTTTGACAAACTTCAGCATCCTTTTCTAATATTTTCAACAGTTTAGATATATAAGACAGTTTTCTCAACATAATAAAGGACATTTGTTAAAAACCCATAGCTAACATCATAAAGCTTTTGCACTAAGATCTGGTATAAAGCAAAAATGCCCATTCTCATCATTTCTATTCAACATAGTACTGGAAGTACTAGTACATACAATCAGACAAGGAAAATAAATAAAAGGCCTCTAAATCAGAAAGGAGGAAGTAAATTATCTCTATTTGCAATTGACATAATCCTATATGTAGAAAACCCCAAAGCTTAGAAAAAACCAATAAATGAATTCAGTATAGTTGTAGGATACAAAATCAATATAAAAAATCACAAGTATTTTTATATACGAAGAACCACCTAGCTGAAAAAGAAATTAATAAAACGGTTCCATTTCTGATAACATCAAAAACATAATATACTTAGAATTCAAATTAATCACGAAGGTGGAACATTTGTACACTGAACACAATAAAACATTGATTAAAGGAGATGAAGAAGACACAAATAAATGTAAAGACATACCATGTTCATGGATCAAAATAATATTGAAATGTTCATGATATTCAAATCAATATGCAGATTTAACAAAATCTCTCTAGAAATGCCAGTGGCATTCCTCACAGAAATAGAAAAACAAACCTAAAATTAATATGGAACCACAAAAAATTCCAAATAGTTAAACCAATACTGAGAAAGAAAAACAAAGTTGGAGACTTTGCCTTCCAGATCTGAAGTTATATTACAAAGCTATAGTAATCAAGACATTAATGGCACTGACATCAAAACAGAAACATTGACCAATGGAACAAAATAGGGAGCCCAGAAATAAATCCAAACATATATGATCAACTAATTTTCAACAAGGGCACCTAGAGGACAGAATGGGGAAACAGTAGTCTCTTCAATAAGTGGTTCTGGAAAAACTAGATTTTCATATACAAAAGAATAAAATCAGATTCTTTCTTACACCATACACAACAATGAAATCAAAAAGGAAGAAAATGCCTAAATTCTTGACCTGAAATAATAAAACTCTTAACAGAGAACATAGAAGGAAAGCTCTTTGATACTGGCCTTAGCAATTAATTTTTAGACATCACACCAAAGCTCAGGCCGCAAAACAAAAATGAATAAATGGAACTATGTTAATCTAGCAAGCTTCTGTACAGCTAAAGAAGCAATATAATGAAAGGAGAACCTATAGACTAGGAAAAATATTTGCAAACCACATCTCTGGCAAAAGATTAATATCCAAAATGTATAAAATACTTTTACAATTCAATTGCAGAAAAACAAATAAATTGATCAAAAAATGGGCAAATAAGCTAGACAGACAGTTCTCCAAGGAAAACATAAAAACGAAGAACAGGTATATGGAAAGGTGCTCCACATCACTAATTCATATGTCATCAAGGAAATGCAATTTAAAACCTACTATATATTGAAAAGATCACTTTTTTATCCACTAAATAATAGTGGCACCAGAAGTATAAATAAGATGTGAGTATATTATACAACTGTTTCTGAACACTTCCTTCTTTTTTATTGGTTTATTTGTCTGTCCTATGATGCTCCTATATTGTTTTGATTACTTAACAAAAGTTGTCAATATCAGGTAGTATAAGTTTTCTTTTTCCTGTGTTTTCAAGATTTTGTTGACTATATGACTCCATTTATCTTTATATAAATTTTACAATCTAATTTTAATTTTCCACCAAAAAATGTCAAGATATTTATTTTGGGATTGCATTAAATCTACATATCAATTAGGGAAAAATTATATCTTAAAAATATTGAACAGTATGTTCTTCAACTGGTTTAGATATTAAAATTCTCAGCAGTATTTTATATTACAAGTGTAACTGTATTGCACTTTTTCACTGGATATATATCCCTATGTATCATATATACATATTTCCCTATACTATATATAGTTGCATTTTTTAAATTTCATTTTATAACTGTTGCTTACACAAAAATAAAATTGATTTTTATATGTAGCCTTGTATCCAAAAACCTTATATTTTCTTTATTAATTTTGTTTTGTTATTTCTTCAAATTTTTGTGCATTGAAATTTGAAGCCATATCATCTGCAAACAATAACAGTATTCTTTCTTCATTTCTGATCTTACTACATTTGCTTACTTCTTTCTTACCTTATTTTACCAGCTAGGATTTCCCATATGATGTTGAAAATGTCAGTGTTGAAAACAATAACGGACATCCTCCTGACCTCAGGAAGGAAACATTCACGATTTCACTATTAACTAAAATAGTTGTATGCTTTTTTGAAGATGTTCCTTATCAGTTTTTAAAAGTTTTTTTCACTAGTTAACTAGGAATTTTTATCATAAAAGTGTTTTTTTTTCTTTAAAGGGTATTTTTCTTTATATATAGAAATTATCATATAATTTTTTCTCCTTTTCCTTAATATGGTAAAACATATTTTAAACTAGTTTTTCATTCTTAGATACCTAGGCTATCTCCATGGCCATAATATATGATCCTCTATAATACTAAGTGGATTTATTTAGAAATCTTTTATTTAGCATTTCTACATCTCTAATTAGAAATAGATCTATAATTTTCTTTTCTGATAGTTCCCTTAAATTTGGGGGCCATAAAGCTAGGCTGACCTCATAAAACATGATGAGAAATGCTCCCTTTGTTGTATTCTCGGCATAAGTATATGTAAGAGTGGTATTACAGTAGTCCCCTCTTATCTGCAGTTTTGTTTTTTATGCTTTAAATTATCTTCAGTCAACCACACTTCAAAAAAAACTCCAGTATTTTGAGACAGAGAGATCATATTCACATAACTTTTATTACATTACACTATTATAATTGTTCAATTATATTATTATTTATTCTTAATCTCTTGATGTGTCTAATTTACAAATTAAACTTAATCATAGGTACATATATATAGGAAAAAACAAGTAAATGTAGAATTGTTACTATTTGTGATTTTAGACATCCATTACGGGTCTTGGAATGTCTCCCACACACACAGATAAGGGAGGACTGCTGTATTTCTGTATTTCCTCCTTAAACATCTGGATGTAATAGTTTGAATTATTGTCCTCAATTTTTCACTTATATCTTAAGATACGATTATTTATACATGTTCTTTGCCATGTGACTTTGTAGTATCTCCCATTATAGTGGATGGAGTATATTACACACACCACCTTCATTGACACTGAGTTTGACATTGTTACTTGTTTATATAATAAAACATAAGCTGATGGAATTGAGGAAATGTTCACTGAATTTGGCTTGGCTTTGTGTTCTGATGCATGCCATGAAAAGATCATGCTCAAGTATCCACTTTGTGAGAAAGTTCTAAATTACAGCTTCCAGGTCTTGAATAAATATAGACTTCTTTATACTTTCTTTTTCTTCTCTCTATTCCATTTTGGGAAGATGGAAAGAAGTGTTTTTTTAAAAATGTGTTGTATTTTAACTAAATATTTAAACTTATCAACTTTGACTTCTTCTAATGTCCAGAAAATTAGACATGATATCATTTTATTACATGATAGTAATTTGTATCATTTCTCGTTTTATTTTGAACTATTAGCTAATGTTTATCAATTATATTAATCTTTTCAAAGAATCAGCTTTTGTCTTTGCTTATGTTTTTATCTGTTTATTTTCCTCTACATTATTTCTGCTCTTTAGTACTTCCTTCCATCCACAATTTTTGAGTGTAAGTAGCTCTTTTTTCTATCTTCTTGGTAGGAATTATAATAAAAACACTTTTGATTATTTTCTCTTCTATAATATGCATCACAAAGTGATCAAAGTAAGGATCAAAGATAATCTTGCCTAGAAAGCAGAGATATGCTTAATTTTTGTAGAACCTAAAGCAGCCAACATTAACAATAGAATTAGGACGGTGATGGCCCATATTTAACAGTGCTTCTCTTAAAAGCAGGAATTCCCTCACTGCAGATATGTATCTCAATATTTACTAAATGAATCATCACAGTCAGTGTTTAACTTTGTACTCCAAGGATGAAGAGAGAACATGAGAAATAATATTGGATGCTACTTGAAATACTCTCCCATTTTATAGTCTATCCAACATTTGGTAGGGAAAATCTGTATATACTGATAGTAAAAGAAGGATATCTAATTTTATAAAATGTTGTGTTTGATTCTTCATAATCTGATCCCTAAATTTACTATCTCAGATGAATTGAGACAGGGAAATGAATGATAATTTCAATGCTCAAACTTACTCTCAGTAATTTTTTTTCTGAAATAATAGCAGAACTATAAGCACCTATGACATCATTTAGAGCAGGGGTCCCCAACCCCACAGCCATGGCTTCTTAGAAAGCAGACCACTAGGCAACCTACAGAATGGGAGAAAATTTTTGCTATCTCCTCATCTGACAAACGGCTAATATCCAGAATCTACAAAGAACACAAACAAATTTACAAGAAAAAAAACAAACAACCCCATCAAAAAGTGGGTGAAGGATATGAACAGACACTTCTCAAAAGAAGACATTTATGCAGCCAACAGACACATGAAAAAATGTTCATCATCACTGGTCATCAGAGAAATGCAAATGAAAACCACAATGAGATACCATCTCACACCAGTTAGAATGGCGATCATTAAAAAGTCAGGAAATAACAGGTGCTGGAGAGGATGTGAAGAAATAGGAACACTTTTACACCGTTCGTGGGACTGTAAACTAGTTCAACCACTGTGGAAGTCAGTGTGGTGATTCCTCAGGGATCTAGAACTAGAAATACTATTTGACCCAGCCATCCCATTACTGGGTATATACCCAGAGGATTATAAATCATGCTGCTACAAAGACACATGCACACGTATGTTTATTGTGGCACTATTCACAATAGCAAAGACTTGGAACCAAGCCAAATGTCCAACAATGATAGACTGGATTAAGAAAATGTGGCACATACACACCACAGAATACTATGCGGCCATAAAAAATGATGAGTTCATGTCTTTGTAGGGACATGGGTGAAGCTGGAAACCATCATTCTCAGCAAACTATTGCAAGGACAAAAAACCAAACACTGTATGTTCTCACTCATAGGTGGGAATTGAACAATGAGAACACTTGGACACAGGAGGGGGAACATCACATACCGGGGCCTGTCGTGGGGTGGGGGGAGGGGGAGGGATAGCATTAGGAGATATACCTAATGTAAATGACGAGTTAATGGGTGCAGCACACCAACATGGCACATGCATACATATGTAACAAACCTGCACATTGTGCACATGTACCCTAGAACTTAAAGTATAATTTATATATATACACATATATATACATATATACATATATATACACATATATATATACACATACATATATATACACACACACACACACACACACACACACACACATATAAATAAAAGGAACCAGGCCACAAAGCACAAGGTGAGCACAGGCCAGCAAGCATTACTGCCTCAGCTCCACCTCCTGTCAGCTCAGCAGTGGCATTAGATTCTCATAGCAGCATGAACTCTATTGTGAACTGCACGTATGAGAGGTCTAGGTTGCACACTCCTTATGGGAATCTAACTAATGATTGATGATGTGAGCTGAAACTATCCCCCTCTACCCCACCCTGTGGAAAAATTTTATTCCACTAAACCGGTCCATGATGCCAAAAAGGATGGTACCGCTGATTAGAGCATCAGTTATCTTTTTATATGCCAGTAAGATATCACTAAAACACATGCTAAAAAAAAAAATGCTTAAAAAAAAAAAACCCCGATGCTAAAAAAAAAAAAACAACTCACAATTTACATGCTCATAGATGGTAGTTGCCAGTGTGAGTGCACAAAAATCTCTCCTTTTATAGGTCAAGGAGAGGCTGAGATTTCACAAAACCAAGGTTTTATTATTTATTATTATAAAATGACCTATGGAGAGAATTAAACAAATACATAAAGAATGCTTGGTTTCAAACTAACCATTTTTAAGTGCTCCTAAGCAATGATCAAAACTTACAATGCAAAATGATTCAACACATAGTCCCATACTCACCTTTCACTGAGGGATGACTTGCTGTTACTGCTGCTTTCTTCTGACACAGAGCTATAAAATTGATAAACTTTGTTTTAAAGTGATGAAAATTGTAATTCTTGAATAATTAAACAACTGAATGAAAACTGTTCTTCAAAGAAACAGCGATTCAAATAAATGAAAGGTCTCCTTTTAACAACTTAAACAGGTACTGTTTCAATATTAGAACAAATGCCATCAGTTACCTCAGTCTGGTAACTGAGTCTTCTCATTCTCATTCTACATTTAATCAAGAATTTATGTTTGTAAACCCACATTTATATAGGCAGCTCCCCTTATTTTATGATATCCCTAATTCCTCCGTTCCAATAAGGCAAACCATAAAGTAGCACTCAAAAATTTTAAATACTTTTTCTTTACAGATCAATATATTTCTTTCTCTCTCTCAGAAAATATAAACACGTTTTATCTTTGCATCAGTTCTCGGAGGGTAAACCTAGATGTAAATATATCTGTGATGAAATATTGTAAATTATGAATAAGGGGCTCAATATGATGTTTAAAAATTTGTGCAACTGATTACAGATAACATGATGATTTCACTCATTAAATGGATGTACTCAAAAGTTTAGATAAATTGAAAAGCTATTATTACCTCCCATTCTGTAGAGTTATAGAGAATAATCTTAAGGAAATAAAGATTAAATCACTTACTCACGGTATCACAGTATTACATGCAAGATTTATAACTTAAAACGAGGTTTCCTGAAGCTAAGCGTAATTCTCTTCCTACATGGTGGTGCCTCCTGTCTCTTTAACCTGACATTATTAACTACACATGTAGTTTCTAATTAAGAAATGATTTTACAAATCAGCAATATCTATATTTAGAAAAATAAATATTGTCAAAATAGGTTTATAGATATTATCTCTAATTGAGAGAGGTGTTCTAATAAAGATGTTTATCACTGGCCTGAAAATCTGTATCTAATAAATTTAGTTTTTGGAAGTTCCCTTGAAATGCAGTGTCATATAATTCTAATAGAGCTCATAGGTGATATGACTGTATGGACAGGGTCGGTGAACTAAGAGGCTAAATAAACCTCCAAAATTCTCCTGGCAGCCATATCTGCTCTTACCATGATACTAGTGGTAAACTCTGTAGTTTTAGTAATTTGTAAGATGAGAAAAAATATCAAAACAAATAACAAACAGCATCAAACCATTTTTAAAATGTCTCCCTGAGCCTCTCTTTATATTGCCTTAGCTACAGTTGGAGATTATTCCTGATGAAACATAAATACATTTTTCTTGTCTTTCTTAATGTAATAAGAGTAAATATATGTATATATATTTTTTTACATATATATGTATATACATACCTCTCACTTTCATTTTCCCCTCTATAGCATAGCTCTCTCAATTTTTTCTGTTTTATTAAAATGGCAGTAGTAATAAGAAGCACAGGTAGAGAAATGTAGAAAATGAGTTGAAACCGTTGTTTTTGAAAAGTGGCCTATCTTCCCTCCTCCATGTAACTTCTCTCTGGAATGAAAAACAGCAATTTTAAGTTACGTCAGAGATTTTATTATCCCAATGAAAAGGAGAAGATATCATTACCAACATCATTTCCAAACATCAAACATTTCTTTTATATATATAAAGTGAATATAATAAAAACAAAAACACTAATGTACCAAATGGGATGTTACTAGTGTTTTATTGATGATTTTTGAGTTCTCAACCTTCCACCATATGATGAACTAATATCTTATTCGATCAGTTTCTCTGGAGAACCCTGATTAATACAGATTTTGGTACCAAGATATGAGGTGCTGCTCTAACAAATACCTAAAAATACAGCAGTGGCTGTGGGACTGGGTAATGGGTAGAGGTTGGAATCATTTTAAGGTGTAAACTAAAAAAAGCCTAGATTGCAATAAAGGACTGTTGATAGAAATATAGATATTAAAGGTGATTCTGGTGAGGGCACTGAGAGAAAAGGGAACGCCTACCTCTTCTTAGAGAATATGTACATAATCATGAACAGAATGTTGGGAGAAATATGAATATTAAAGGTGCTTCTAGTGAGGTCTTAGACAGAAATAAAGCAACATGTTATTGGACAATGAAGGAAAGGTCATTCCTGTTAAAAAGTGGCAAAGACTTGGCTAACTTGTGTTCTAAAGTTTTGTGAAAGATAGAGTTTGCAAGCTGACGTTAGATAACAGCTGAGGTGACCCCTAGGCAAAATGTTCAAGTTATGGCCTGAGTCCTCCTGACTGCTTATGGTAAAATGAAAGAGAGGAGAGATGGATTAAAGAAGTAATTGAAATAATTGTTAGCCAGAAATTCTCAGCCTATCCATATTTCCCAAAATCAGAAAACGTGTTCTGGAGAGAATACCAAGGGTGTGGCTAGAAAATCATTTGATAAAGAGATTACGGATGTGAATAATGGATTTAATCAGCCATCTCAGCAGAAATCAGAAACATAAGACAATACCAGCATAGATGGAATTATACTGGCAGAGACATTGCCAGTTGGAAATGAAGGAAAAAGAATGGGACAAAAGGGCTATTTTGCTATGAGCATGCTTTATCTTTCAAGAAAAGTAAAGAATAATTGCGCCTTTGACTCAAAGATTATCGGGGTGCCACAGACCAAAGGATCAAGGCTGCATTCTCTTTGGTTATACAGGGCGGGGCCTCCTTTTTAATTTCAGCGGACCAAGTTGCCCTAGCCCAGTGCCTTATGGGTGGGACATTGTAAAGATAGTATGAACAGGGTAGGCTCCCAAGCCAAGGGAGTGGGACTGCCACCTAGGATTGTGGAAGTAATGCACCACCTCAGTGAGCCTGGAAGGAAGAACATTCAGCCAAATAGGATTTGGATAGGATTTAATTTACATCTCAGTTCATATGGGAGACTAAAGACAAAGCAATTGAGGTGTCTGGTGTGTAGTGTATGGCCAACTCTCAAGCCTAAGACACAACGGAACTTGCACTGCTAGGTTTTGGAATTTCTTGAAACCCATCACCTCTTCCTGCCTTCTAATTTCTCCCTTTCGGAATGGGAATGTCTGTCCTATGCTTATTTCACCACTATATTTTTGAAACAGGGCTGGGCGTGGTGGCTCATACCTGTAATCCCAGCACTTTGGGAGGCCGAAGTAGGCAGATCAGGAGGTCAGGAGATCAAGACCATCCTGACTAATACAGTGAAACCCCGTCTCTACTAAAATACAAAAAATTAGCCGGGTGTGGTGGCGGGCGCCTGTAGTCCCAGCTACTCGGGAGGCTGAGGCAGGAGAATGGCGTGAACCCGGGAGGCAGAGCTTGCAGTGAGCAGAGATCGCGCCACTGCACTCCAGCCTGGGCGACAGAGCGAGACTCTGTCTCAAAATAAATAAATAAATAAATAAAATATATTTTGGAAACACATAATTTGTCTGGTTTTACACTTTCACAGTTGGGGAGAAATTTTGTCTCAAGATAAATCATATCTCAAATGTTACCCATTCCTGATTTAGATGCTATTCAGATGAGACTTTCTACTTAAAATTGATGCTGGAATGGCTTAAGGCTTTTGGGACTCTTGGCATGGGATGAATTTTTTTGCATGTAAGAAGAACATGAATTTGGGGAACACAGAGTGGAATTTTATAGACTGAATTGTGTCCCCCTAAATACATATGTTTAAGCCTCAACCCCCAATGTGATGATATTTGGAGATGAGGACTTTGAGAAATAATTAGGGTTAAATGAGGTAATAAGTGTGGGGTCCTAATCTGATGGGATTGTTGTCTTCATAAAAAGAGGAGAGACCAGAATGCATGTGCTCCCTCCCTCCCTCTCTCTCTTTCTGTCTCTCTCTATCTCTCTCTCTCTCCATTCACAGAATTATTGTTGAAAAGATGTGGCAAAATTACTGTTAATTGCAGTTTACATCATTTCAAAAATGTTCATCCCCAAAAATAAACAAATAGACTTCTCAATATAGTGATAATCCATTGATAAAATTTATGCACAAATATCAGTAGATTTTCTACATGTAACAAGTAATGTTGAAATACAATGACAGAAAATATCTCCCAATAACCAATTTTTAACAAAACCATGCCCTTTTTAAAAATGATAAATTTCTGATCTATAAGACCCTATTATACCTATACAGGGATGAAAGAGACAAAAAGATACCACTTCATACCCATCAGGATGGCTATAATCAGAAAAAAAAAAAAAAAAAAAAAACAGAAAATAACAAGTATTGACAAGGATGTGGAGAAATTGAAACAGAAAATAACTTGTACACTGCTAGTGGGAATGTAAAACAAAGTCGCTGCTGGAAAATAGTATGGTGATTCCTCAAAATATTTAGAAATATAATCATCATATGACACAGCAAGTTCACTTCTGGACATATACACAAAATAACTGAAAACAGAGTCTCGAGATATTTGTAAGCCCATAGTCACAGAAACATTATTCACAATAGCCCAAATGTGGAAGAAACCCAAGTATCCATTGACAGATGAACAGCTAAACAAAATGTGGTATATACATACAATAAAATGTTATTCAACCTTTAAAAGAAATGAAATTCTGACACACACTACAATATGTATGAACCTTAAGGACATCGGGCTTAGTGAAAAAAGCCAGGCTTTTTCAAAAAAGACAAATACAGCATGATTCATTCCATTTTTGAGTTACTGAAGTTGTCAGATTCAGAGACAGAAAATAGAATAATAGTTTGCAGGGCCTGGGAAGAGGAGGAATGAGGGCTTATTGTTTAATTGATTTACAGTTTTGGCTTTGCAACATGGAAAGAGCTCTGCAGAGAGATGATGTTGCACAACAATGTACTTAATGTCATGGAATTATACACTTAAAAAGCATTCAGATGGTAAATTTTATGAGTATTGTGCAACACTTAAGTGTGTGTGTGTGTGTGTTTGCATGCGTATGTTATAAAAGGTCAAACAAACCCATAAGAATAGAGAGACAACGGTGATGAAATAGTAATTCATAGAAAAATTATAAATTTCCTATCACCATCAAGCAACTGGGAAGCCCCATAACATTAAAGAAATGTAAGTAGAATATAATTTTTTCTGGTCTATGAACTTGTCAAATATTAAAAGGGTTAATAATAACCTCTGAAAATCAGGAATGTATATAGTATTATTAATGGTCATCTCTGAGGTTTAGGATAAAATGAAAAACTATGGAAAGAAAAATCATAAAGTGAGATTAAAATATACTCTTTATAATTTTATATACTAAGTAGTCAATTAGGCAAAAATATATGTGAATTTAGACTCCAGCATATGCAAAAAGCTGATAGTCATACATACAAGCACATATATATTCAATTATGTACATATTTTATATGATTATATCTATATACATAGAGCTGTAGAACAGATTGTAAGTTCCTTGAAAATATTCATGAAATAGTAACAAAAGTCAACAATGTTTTTGGCTTACAATTAAGGCAATCATAAAATCCATAATTTGACATTTTTTCTGGGTCATATTATGTTAACACAAAGCAGTGACATTAAAAGTAAGCAGAATGGGGATGATGAAATAAACCTGGACTCATTTAGATGACCATTGCAGCCCAAACTCTTTATGTCCTAAAATGCATTCAGGATCACAAGTGTTTCTCCCACATTGAGTCCAGGCTTTATTGGGGAAAGCTCAAGGCCTCCTTGACTGGGTAGAGGGCCTCCAAAGGGACTACATGGGGACAAAACATACAGCCAACTAGCATATCAGCCTAGGTCTTTCAGGGTAGACCTGTAAGCCCCAGAATGGAAGAGATGAAAGAAGAGCCCATGGCAGCTGGCTAAAGGAAACTAGTTGGGTTAGAAGGTTTTCTCTGACTGCAGGCTCATGTGCTGCGATCTGGACTTCCATCTGGACTTAGAGCGGTAGGCCTAGGATACCAATCACATAGGTTTGCCTAGAACTTATCCTAGTTGTAGTACTGAAAGTCTTACATGCTAGTGAATCTGTCACTGGGACAGAAAAATTTCTGGTTGGCAACTAGTGTGGAAGGTTGCAGGGAAAAGAACCAAATATAAAATATTAATATAAAACGAAATATAAAAGGTGAAAAAAATAGGGACTAAAAGCAACACTGTTTTAGTGTCAAATGACTAAATCACCGATTATCCATCTTCTATAGTTGCTATTGCTGCTTTTTTTTCTTTTTCTTTCCATTACTGCTGACGTTGGCAACCACAATTTGTGTGTTCACTCTGATTAATGTAACTTAAATGTGCAATTTAAAGGTATCAAAAGCATCAGTGTTAACAGTCCATCTTTGACGTACACTACAAAATCACTGTTGTGCTTTGCATCAAGATAGCACACATATAATTTTTCAAATTGAGAATATTGTAATTGTGTTTTCTAAGAACTTGGATAACGAAAATAGAACAATTATAATACGAACACCAGCATGACCAAGATATCACAGATAAGGAGGCTAAATGACTGTATTTATTATTATTATTATTATTATTATTATTATTATTATTGAGTCAGAGTCTCACTCTGTCACCTAGTCTGGAGTGCAGTGTCATGCCCTCAGCTCACTGCAACCTCCACCTCCCAAGTTGAAGCAATTAGCTGATTTATGTTCTTTCTTTGAAAGTCTTACATTTATGTACCTTCAGGGTATATAATATAGGCTGAAAATTTTAAATAAAAATAGAAATTTAAATAAAAATAAAAATAAAAATTTAAATGCCCAGTAAAGGATTTTTATTTTTTTATTTATTATTTTTTTAAATTATACTTTAAGTTTTAGGGTACATGTGCACAACATGCAAGTTAGTTACATATGTATACATGTGCCATGTTGGTGTGCTGCACACATTAACTCGTCATTTAACATTAGGTATATCTCCAAATGCTCTCCCTCCCCTCTCCCTCCACCCCACAACAGGCCCCGGTGTGTGATGTTCCCCTTCCTGTGTCCATGTGTTCTCATTGTTCAATTCCCACCTATGAGTGAGAATATGTGGTGTTTGGTTTTTTGTCCTTGCGATAGTTTGCTGAGAATGATGGTTTCCAGCTTCATCCATGTCCCTGCAAAGGACATGAACTCATCATTTTTTATGGCTGCATAGTAGTCCATGGTGTATATGTGCCACATTTTCTTAATCCAGTCTATCATTGTTGGACATTTGGCTTGGTTCCAAGTCTTTGCTACTGTGAATAGTGCCACAATAAACATATATGTGCATGTTTCTTTATAGCAGCATGATTTATAATCCTTTGGGTATATACCCAGTAATGGGATTGCTGGGTCAAATGGTATTTCTAGTTCTAGATCCCTGAGGAATCGCCACACTGACTTCCACAATGGTTGAACTAGTTTACAGTCCTACCAACAGTGTAAAAGTGTTCCTATTTCTCCACATCCTCTCCAGCACCTGTTATTTCCTGACTTTTTAATGATTGCCATTCTAACTGGTGTGAGATGATATCTCATAGTGGTTTTGATTTGCATTTCTCTGATGGCCAGTGATGATGAGCAGTTTTTCATGTGTCTTTTGGCTGCATAAATGTCTTCTTTTAAGAAGTGTCCGTTCATATCCTTCGCCCACTTTTTGATGGGGTTGTTTGTTTTCTTCTTGTAAATTCGTTGGAGTTCATTGTAGATTTTGAATATTAGCCCTTTGTCAGATGAGGAGATTGCAAAAATTTTCTCCCATTCTGTAGGTTGCCTGTTCACTCTGATGGTAGTTTCTTTTGCTGTGCAGAAGCTCTTTAATTTAATTAGATCCATTTGTCAATTTTGGCTTTTGTTGCCATTGCTTTTGGTGTTTTAGACATGAAGTCCTTGCCCATGCCTATGTCCTGAATGGTATTGCCTAGGTTTTCCTCTAGCATTTTTATGGTTTTAGGTCTAACATTTAAGTCTTTAATCCATCTTGAATTAATTTTTGTATAAGGTGTAAGGAAGGGATCCAGTTTCAGCTTTCTACATATGGCTAGCCAGTTTTCCCAGCACCATTTATTAAACAGGGAATCGTTTCCCCATTTCTTGTTTTTGTCAGGTTTGTCAAAGATCAGATGGTTGTAGATATGCGGCATTATTTTTGAGGGCTCTGTTTTGTTCCATTGGTCTATATCTCTGTTTTGGTACCAGTACCATGCTGTTTTGGTTACTGTAGCCTTGTAGTATAGTTTGAAGTCAGGTAGCGTGATGCCTCCAGCTTTGTTCTTTTGGCTTAGGATTGACTTGGCAATGTGGGCTCTTTTTTGGTTCCATATGAACTAGTAAAGGATTTTTAAAGAGTTAAATTGCTATATTATAGGACTTTCTGTTTCTCATTGTAAACTACTGTTTACTGAAAATACATAATTCAAATAAACATGTATTTTTCATGTTATCATGTGAAAATAATAATATATGCGTATAGTTACAGGTTATAGGCTAAATTATTATGGGGTTTTTTTGTCTGATACATAGTTTGATGTGGCTTTGTATTGTCTCTTTAAAAAGTTGATCAACCTAGGTATGTGTTTATATAGCACCCAAGCTACAGATAAGTCTGCCCCAAAGTTTCAGGACTTTCTTGCAAGGTCCTAAAAGAGATGGGGGTAGAGGCCTGGCCAACATGGTGAAACCCGTCTCTACTGAAAATACAAAAATAAGCTGGGCGTGGTGGTGGGCACCTGTAATCCCAGCTATTTGGGAGGCTGAGGCTGGAGAATCACTTGAACCCAGGAGGCGGAGGTTGCAGTGAGCAGAGATCGTGCCATTGCACTCCAGCCTGGGGGACAAGAGCGAAACTCCGTCTCACACACACAAAAAAGAGAGAGATGGGGGTAGAGTTCGCAGCCCATCTATGCTCCCAGTTATTTTGGGTAGGCTCATACCTTCTAGAACCAGGGTATGCCCTTCACCACCAGTTGAGCCCAATTCATCTAGGCCTGATTAATCTCAAAATACTACTCAGGAACATCAGGACAGGATTAGAAAGAGCAAATCTCCAAAGATTAGCATGGAGCCCTTACAATGCAGGAGAAAAATAACCAATTATAAGTGAATAGGAAGAAAAGACAGCCTGAAAGATTCTAGGGGCATTAATATAATAATGACTATACTGACACTATTATAAACTCTAGTTTATAGGAGTTTATAATAAATATAGTAAATATAAATATAATAGTAAATATAAATATAGGAGATAATCCAAAGTGAACAGTTTAAATTAACTGGTCAAATTTTACACACCAAAATTTCTACTTTTAAAACTGCCTAACATTGGCCATACTTTTTCTCAGTAAAGAATGTCAATGCTGATATAGAAAGAACAGTATAAACTTGCACTGTCAACATTTTTTAAATCTTATAAATAAAAAAAAGCATGTTGACATTAGTTGCTTTGTAATCTGGCTTGAAACCTATAATTTACTATCTTACATACTGTGCATAATTAATACAATTTTAAGAACACTAACCAGTTGGTGGTACTAAGTGTCCATCATCAATACTTCCAAATGCTCCTTGCTTTGGTTGGCAGTAAGGAGGATTATATCCCTTTTCACAATGGCAATGGTTAAAATTGTTGCAAACCTTAAATAATAAAAAAAAGAATAATTTCGATGGAGACTAATGAATAATCTATACTTATTCCACAGAGTATCTCATTCTAGAGAATTTATCTAAATAGATAAATTTGTCAAATTTTCCCTTGCTAATGTTCATACTACACAAAGTACATCTATCTTGTGTTGTCAAATCAAATTTTTTTCTAAAAAATTCTTTTAACTCCCCCCATAGCCAGGCCCAAATACCTCAAATTACCAGTAACCTGTCACTAATTATAACCTACTTGCTAGCTGACAGCCCAGACTCTAAATTAACTTGCAGCACTAGCAAGAAAATTCTAATGGTCTTTATTTACCAGTTTCTATCTTCTATTGCTTATAGCACATCCTCCTCACATATCCATCAAACATTTAATATATCCAGAATCATCTTAAATGTTTTCTCTTTGTCTTCTTTAATAAATAGTTTGATAAGTTTCTTAAGAAGACAAAATTGAGGTTATAAATTATAGACTATTAAATGACACCAAATGACATAAAAATGGCAAACAAAAAAAGTCATTTATTTTTTTAAAATCCTCAAATTGTTTGATTGTTAAAAGCAAGTTGTTTAAAATAAACATTGCAGTTACTTACTCCATGACGATCACAATGATTAGAAGCATCACACAATTTTAAATTCATCAGGAATCTAACATGTTTACAATGCATTTCGAAACAATACTAAAAACAAAGCCAAAAAGTACAAAATAAAATCAGTCAAAAAATCAGATTTTGTGCCTGGCTAACACATTCAAAAATTCAAGAAAATATTAGAATTCATATTATCAAAAACTTGCATTAAAAAGCTGTGAGTGTCCAGTGGAAAAAAAAATTGTGACTACACTGAAGTAAACATGAAATAAACTATGTACTTTCAGTTTGTAAAGATGTAATCATATGTAAGAAGCCAGAGGTGTTATTTTCTTTCCATTTAGTACCAGAAGTCAACTTAGATAAACTACTGGGAAAAATAACTTGATTAGTCCTTTGAGTTCAAGAATTATCTGAAGAACATTTTAAAATATACCCATGTGTGGGCTCCCCTTGAGAGCATTATATCAAAAACTCTGGGGAGAGGATCCAGTTGTTTCTCAGGAGCAGCCAGGTTTGAGAACTATTGAGCAGAGAAGTGAGATCTTAAAATCATGAGTATGAGCAGCAAGGGAAGATAGTTTACTATTCCATATGATAAAATAAAAAGAAAGAGGGAAGAAAGGACAACAGGTAATTATATGAGGTAACAGGACAATGGGAAACTCCCTTGGTGAGCTGGATAAAAGGCCTTCTAAGAAAGAAAAGTTTCATGGATGAAATTAAATTTTTCTAATTTATGACATACATTTATGTGATCTTCTTTAATTATCAAAAAACTGTCACTAAATTCACCACGTTGTGAAAGAGTTTTATACCTGGAGTGAGTTTTGTCTTTGGGTCATAATAATGACTATATGCAGAAACAGGAGAGTCAGGACTCTGTAATGGAGGTTTGAGCTAATATCATTTAGATTTCAAGGGTAAGGGAGGCTTCAGATCATATTTGTATTCCATATGTTTCAAAATGAGCAAGAAGTAACAGGGACTCTGTTTCCTTTTTATGTGCTATTTATTATCAAAATGTTACTAAATAGAAATAAATTTGTATTTAGCAAGTCTACTCAGAAGCTTTCTCTCAAAAACAGTATGTTAATTTAACTTCACATAGTATCTTTTTGACTTAAATCAATTAGAATATTAAAATTGTATTAAATATATACTTAATTTATAGAATATTACATGTCTCCAATAATATTGCATAATTATTTTGTGCTATATTAATTGTTAATGTTGTTTTCATATTTTGGTATGTTAAATAAATAATAACAATAATGTGCATTATATTATAGTAGAACATAATAGTATAATAATAGTCAGTTTAAGTAAAGTATTCATCTACCAATCAGGAAAAAATCAGAGTCCATTATAAAAAGTAAAAACCAACATACATTTGGCTTTTCTATTGAAACAATAAATACAATTCAAGAAATGTTATCGCAAAAACCATGCTAATAAAGAAAAATTCTTGCTCACATAATATCTTACTCAACCAAAACTATTATTCATTTGAGATCTTCAGCTCTTGTCTAAAGATTTACTCACTAATAATGTATGCAAAATTATTAGATTATATGTCAGAACATCAAAAAATGTGTGTATAAAAATTACTAAAATGTTATATTACTCTTAAAAGAGGTGTGAAGATGATTAATAACATATACTGCTGAACTTTTAAATAAATAGGGAAAATGGAGAATTACCTAACTTTTCAATATTCTATTTAAACATTCTTTAAGAGGCCCACCTAAGGTCCACCTAAAGATTATTTAATCATTTGAGTGAAAATTCATACCATGTAAAGACATTACCAGGTGAATGGGTAGAACAAAAAGGAGAGATGGAAACATAACAAATATATTAGCACAGGAGGCTTGTTTGAATGTGCAGGTCTGAGACCCCATTCTCTATCCAGAGACATAAGGAAAACTGTGGGAGTGAGAAACGGGACCTGATGGAGAACTCCACCACACCTCTCCCCTACAGAGAGACATGCAGTTGGCTGGCCTGATGAATCTCCTATCCTTCCAGGAGGCACCAGCAAAGACCATGGAGAGCCCCAGTGGCAATAGGTAAACCAAGCCAACCAAATAATATTGTAAAGGCTCTGAACATTGAACTGCCTTTGGAACAGCCCACAAAAGAAGGCCAAGACCTAAACAAGATCACTTCCTGCTAAAACAGTGCTTTATATTTGACACAGAGTCTCCTAACATAATAAATACAATTTCTGGATGCAACTAAGTCATTCCAAGAGCTAAGAAAATCACAACTTGAATGATAAAAGACAACCAGCTGATATCAGAACCAAGATGATTCAGATGATGGGATTACATGACAAGGATTGTAAAGCAGCTATTATAAAAAAATCAATAATCAATTACAAATCTTCTTGAAACAAATAAAAAAATACAAAAATCTTAGCAAAGGAACAGGTGATATAAAAATAAACCAAATGGGAATTATAGAATGAAAAAATACAATAACCTAAATTTTAAAAAAAGCCAAGTGACTGAGCTTAAATCAGTAAACTTGAAATAGCAAAGAAATGTTTATCAAAAATCTTGGAACACCACAAAGGAAGAAAAAAACAGGGAAAGGAAGATGAGTAAATAAAATGGACTATCCATTTCTTTATAGGTTTTTAAAATTATAGTTAATGATTGAAACAAAAATTATAACACCACCAATGATACTTAAATGTAGGGAAGGTAAACACAACTAAAATGGGAATGAGGTTGTTTTCTCATTTCACTCAAAGTGGCAAAATGTTTATAGCAGTAGCCTCTTTAGGCCACATACATATATCATAAAACCTTGAGCAGCCACTATGAAAACTACAGAAAGACATGGCTAACTTAGAAACACTATAACTGGATCAAGATAGCATCCTAAAACAATGTTTAAATCACCCATTGAAAGGCAAGAAAAGAGAAAAATAAGAATGGGAACCAGAGGAAACAAATAATGAAATAACATACTTAGGCAATAACATTATACCAACCAAAAGACATGCCACACTGTATTGAAGGCATGACTCAACTCTGTGATGCTTTTAAAAACTCACCTCGAATTCAATGGCAGAGATAGATTTAAATAAAAAGGACAGAAAAAATATATCATTCAAACATTTATCCATAAAAGCAGGAGTAGCTATATTTATATCTGATACAGTAGACTTCAGAGCAAAGAAAATTACTAGAGACAAATGAAGACATTATGTCATGATATGATAATCATTCCAACAATAATACACAGTTCTCCTAAATGTCTACATCCCAAACCACAAAGCCTCCAAACATAAGGCAAAAAGTAATAGCACTGAAAGGAAAATAGACAAAGCCACAATTGCAGTTGGATATTTTGACACCTTTGTCTCAGCAATTTACAGAAATTATACAGAAAGTCAGCAGATATACAGGAATCTGGACAAAACAGGATTTAACTGATGCATATACAGGTCACTACAACCCGTATCAACAGAATATACATTTCTACAAGTGCCTATGGAATATGCAGCAAGATATATCATACTCCTTACCATAAAGAAAACCTCAACAAGTTTTTAAAAATTAAAATTATGAGAACATGTTCTCTGATAATAATAAAATCAAACCTGAAATCAATAAAAGAAATACAACAGGAAAATTTCTAAATATGTTGAAATTAAACAATACATTTATAAACAATTCATGTATCAAATAGCCCTCAAAGAAACTAAAAAAAAATACATAGAATCAAAGGAAAACAAAAATATACATTAAAATATGTAGGATGCAGCTAAAACAGTTCTGAGAGGGAGATTTATAAGACCAAATGCTATAAATGAGAAAAAGCCTCAAAGCAATCATTGAAGTTACCACTTCAAGAAACTGGAGGAAAGGAAGAAGAAATTAAACTCAAAGCAAAAGAAAGTAAACGATAATAAAAGCAGAAATCAATGAAATTGATTGCTAGTTCTATATGAAATTAAAAGCTGGAAAATAATAAAGAAAACCATTATAACAAAGAGTGGAGTCTTTAAAAATTTTTTATGAAATTAATAAATTTTTTATGAAATTAATAAATTTTTAGCTAGACTGAGAAAACCAACGAAACAAAAAGCAGATGCTTTGAAAATTTTTTATGAAATTAATAACTTTAGCAAGACTGAGAAGTTAAAAAAAGAAGACAGAAATCACCAATATCAGAAATGAGATAGAGGATATCATTGCAGATCCTGCAGCCATTACACAGAATTATAAAGAAATACTATGAACAACTTTATATTTATAAATTCAGAAACTTTGAGGAAATTGACCAATTTCTGGGAAACTATGAGCAACCAAAAATCACCAAGAAACAGCTTATAATCTGAAGACCAATACAACAATTGAAGAAATTGAATTCATAGTTTAAAACCTCCTAAAAAATGAAATTTCCAGGCCCAAATGATTTCACTAGAGAATTCTATCAACATTTAAAGAAAAAAATTAACATACATTTTACATAATCTCTTTCCAAAAATAGAAGAGTGAAAAACAGTTTTCAATTAATTTTATAATGCCATATAAAATGACCAAAATCAGATAGATACATTGCAACAAAAAAAAAACTACAGACCAATACCCCTCATGAATTTGGTTACAAAGATTATTCAACAAAATATTAGCAAACTAAATGCAACAATGTATAAAAAATTTATACACAATGACCAAGTGATATTAATACCAAGTATGTAATGCTGTTTCTACATTTAAAAATTGATTAATGTAATCCAACATTCAATGAACTAAAGAAGAAAACTCATGTGACCACATCAATCGACACACAAAAAGCATTTGACAAAATTCAAGACACAAGTATAATAAAAACCTGCAATAAATTAGCAGTAGAAGACGGTTAGCTCAACTTAAGGGGCATCTGCAAAAAAGAAAAAACCCTACATCTAACATACTTAATGATGAAAGACTTAATACATTCCTCTTAGATTAGGAAAAAGTCAGAGACATCCTCTCTCAACACTCTTATTCAACATCATACTGTAAGTTCTAACCACTGCAGTAAAGCAAGAAAAAGAAATAAAACATATACAGATTGAAAAGGAAAAAATAAAATGGTCTCTATTTCCAAATTATTTTCTACATAAAAAAATCCCAAGAAGTCCACAATCAAACTCCTACAACTAATTTAACACAGGACAGTTGCAGGATAAAAGAGCCACACCCAAAATTCAATAAGAAATGGGGAAAGGACTCTCTATCTAATAAATGGTTCTGGGATAGCTGGTTAGCCAAATGCAGAAGAATAAAACTGGACCCCTACCTTTCACAATACACAAAAATTAACCGAAGATGCATTCAAAACTTAAACCTAAAACCTGAAACTATAACAATTCCTGAAGAAAGTCTAGGAAACAACTCTTCTGGACAAAAACTTAGGATTAAAACCCCAAATAGAACTTAGGACTAAAACTCCAAAAGCAAATGCAACAACAAAAAAAATAGATAGATAGGATTTAATTAAACTAAAAAAGTGTCTACATAGCAAAAAAATAACAACAGAGTAAACAGACAACCTACAGAATGGGAGAAAATATTTGCAAACTATGCATCCAACAAAGAACTGATATCCAGAATCCACCAGGAATGCAACAACTCAACTGAAAAACAAATAATCCCAGTAACGAGTGGGCAAAGAACATGAACAGACATCTCTCAAAAGAAGATATACGAGTGGCTAGCAAACATACGATAAAATGCTGAGCATCACCAAAGATCAGAGAAATGTAATTTAAAATTATGATGATGCCCCATCTCACACCAGTCAGAATGGCTATTTTTTATTTTTTATTTTTTTAGAGAGAGTCTCACTCTGTTGCCCAGGCTGGAGCTCAGTAGCACAATCTCTGCTCACTGCAAGCTCCACCTCCCGGGTTCACACCATTCCCCTGCCTCAGCCTCCCGAGTAGCTGGGACTACAGGTGCCTGCCACCAGGCCCGGCTATTATTTTTGTATTTTTAGTAGAGACGGGGTTTCACAGTGTTTACCAGGATGGTCTCGATCTCCTGACCTCGTGATCCACCCTCCTCAGCCTCCCAAAGTGCTGGGATTACAGGCGTGAGCCACCGCGCCATGCCTCAGAATGGCTATTCTTAAAAAGTCTAAAAACAACAGATGTTGGTGAGGATGTGGATAAAAGGTAACACTTATAGATAATTATATATATGTGAAGAAAAGGTAACACATATACATAATTCATGTGGAGAAAAGGTAACACATATATATAATTCAGGTATAAAGGTAACAGATATATAATTCATTTATTATATATAATATATAATTAATTATATAAATATATAATACATAATAAATGAATTATTTATCTAGATATATAAAGATATTTATATATCTAGATATATATCTTTATCTTTTATATATAAATATCTTTTATAAATATCTTTATATATCTAGATATATAATTCATTTATTATATATAAGAATTCATTATATATAATAAATTACATTAATTATACAATATATAATATATGCATTTATCATATACAATAATTAAATGAATTTATGTTATACATTATTTATGTATTTATATTATATACATTACTGTGTAGTAATTCATGTATTATATATCTACATATCTAGGTATATAATTAATTTATTATATATTATTTATATATGAATTTATTATATATGAATTATATAATTCATTTATTATGTATGAATTAATATAATGTATTATATATTATATTGTATACTATATATTATATTATATTAATATATAATTTATATATATTAATATAATATAATATATAGTATACAATATATTATATAATATATTGTATACTATATAATATATTATATAATATATATTATATTATATATTAGATAATATATTATCTAATATATTATAATATATTAGATAATATATTATATATTATCTAATATATTAGATAATATATTATATATTATTTAATATATTATATAATATATTATATATTATTATAATATAATAAATATATATAAATTAATTTAATATATAAATATATATTTATATATTAATATATATTATATAAATATATAATATGTTATATAATATATTATATAAATAAATATATAATATATAAATATATATATAAATATATGATATTAATATATGATATATACATTTATTATATATTATGATATATAATAAATGAATTATATATCTAGACATATAAGGATATATAATACATGAATTATGACATAGCAATAAAAATAATTAAATCATGTCCCATGCAGTACAGCAACATGGATAAAGGTAGACATCATTATCATATATGAACTAACTCAGAAACTGAAAATCAAATACCATGTGTTCTCACCTGTAAGTGGAAGCTAAAAAATAGGTACATATGGACATAAAGATGGAAATAATAGGCACCAGCAACCCCAAAAGTGAGGAAGAATCAGAGGGTTAGAGTTGAAAAATAACTGGAGACAATGTTCATTATTCAGGTGACAGGCACACTGGATGTCAAAACTTCACCAATAACTGCACATGTACCTCCATGAATATATAAAAATTTAAAAATAAATTGTTTAATGTATCAAAAAATTTAGAATAATAATTTCTAATAAAAAAGTAAATTAAAAATTTGGAAAAATAATCTAAATAAAACTGTAAACTCCACAAAGCTATAGAAATTAAACAAAACACTCTTAAGGAACCAGTGGATCAAAGAAGGAATCACTAAGGAAATTAGAAAATACTTACAAACAAATAGAAATATAAACACAATATCCCAAAACTTATGGAATGCAGTGAAAGAAGTACTAGGGGGAAGATTTATTAGTATAAATGCTTACAATAAAAAAGAAGAGAAATTTAAAATCAACAACCTAACTTTACAACTTAAGGAAATAGAAAAATAAATAAATAAATAAACTAAATTCTAGCAGAAGGAAGGAAATAAAGATTAAAGTGGAGATAAAATACAGAGTAAAACAATAAACTTAAGGAAACCAAAAATTGGTTCTTTGAAAAGATGAACAAAATTGACAAACCTTTATCTAGATGTACTAATAAAGACAGAAAACTCAAATTACTAAAGTCAGGAATAAAAGTGAGAACATTACTACCAATTCTACAGAAATAGAAAGGATTATAAGAATACCAAGATCAATTGTTTACCAATGAACTGGATTAGCTTGATAAAACTGACAAATTCCTAGAAACAAAACCTATCAACACTATGAAGAACTTAAAAACCTGAACAGACTCCTAACTCATAAGGAGATTTAATTAATAATTTAATTAATTAATTAATAATCATAAGCCTTCCTATGAAGAAAATTTCTGGACATAATGCCTTCAAATATGTAAAGAAGAATTAACACCAGTTCTTCTCAAATTTTTCCAAAAACATGAAGAAGAGGAAATATCTTCTAACTCATTTTATAAGGCCAACATTATCCTGATATCAAAGCCAGACAAATATACTACAAAGAAAAAATACAGACCAATAACCATTATGAACATAGATGCAGAATCCTCAGTAAAATGCTGGCAAACTGCACTATATTAGGAGTATACACTATGACCAATTGAGATTTCTGGAATGCAAGGATGGTTCAATGTATGATAGCTGATCGATGTAATGACCACATTAATAGAATGAAGGAGAAAAACAAAATGATCATCTTAATTGATAAAGAAAAGGCATTTAACAAAATTCAACACCTTTCATGACACAAACATTCAAAGTACACTCAGTCATGAGGTAGAAGGAAACTACCTCAACATGATAAAAATCCATATATAAAAATCCCACAACTGACATTATACTTAATGATAAGACTTCAAAGCTTCTCCGCTAAGATCAGGAACAGGGCAAGGATACTTCCTTTCACCACTTCTCTTCAACATTGTACTGGAAGTTCTAGCCAGAGATGTTAGCCAAGAAAAAGAAATAAAAGGCATCCAAATTGGAAAGGAACAATTAAAACTTTTCTGCTTCCAGAGGACATAATTTTATAAGTAGAAAACTCTAAGGATTACCCCAAACAGTTAGAATTAACAATGTATTCAGCAAAGTGGCAAAATACAAAATCAACATATAAAAACTGGTTTCATTTCTATACAGTAACAATGAACACTCTGAAAGGGATATTATGAACACATTTCCATTTATGATAGCATCAAAAAGTACTTAAAGTACTTAAGAATTAATTTAACAAAGCAGTTTAGGATGTCCATACTATTCAAAGTGATCTACAGATTCAATACAATTACTATAAAAATCCCAATGATTTTTTTGCAGAAATGGAAAAATTTATACTAAAATTCATATAGAATCTCAAAGAACCCCAAAAACAATCTTGAAAAAGAACAAAGCTAAAAGAGTCACATTTCCCAATTTCAAAACTTACTAGGAAGCTACAGGAAAGAAAACAGTGTGGTACTGGCATAAAGACTAATATATTACCAATGGAATAGCATAAATAGCCCATAAACAAATGCTTGCATATATGGTTAAGAGATACTACTGAATTTTTACAAGGGTGCTGAGACCATTCAATGGAGAGAGGACAGTCTTTTCAACAAATGGTGCTGGAGAAACTAGATGTCCACACACAAAAGAATAAAACTGAACCTTTACCTAACACCACATACCAAGATGAACTTGAAATGGATTCTATAGGTAAACATAAGAGCTTAAAACTATAATACTCTTAGAATAAAATATAGGGCAAAAGCTTCATAATATTGATTTGGCCAGTCATTTATTGGATATGACACCAAAAGTACATGCAACAAAAGAAAAAATAGACTAATTGGATTTCGTAGTTGTTTTTAAATTGTGCATTAAAAGACACTATCAACAGAGTAAAAAGGCAACTCAAAGAATGAAAGAAAATATTTTAAAATCATATCATAAGAGAGTAATATCCAAAATATATAGAGAATTCCTAAAACTCAACAACAAAAAAGATGATTTAAAAACGGGAATAGCATTTAAATAGACATTTCCCTAAAGAACATATACAAATGGTCAATAAGCACATGAAAAGATGCTCAAAATCACAGATCATTAGGGAAATGCAAATCAAAATTACAGTGAGATACCACTTCACACCCATTAGGATGGCTACTATCGAAAAAAAAAAAAACGGAAAGTAAGTGTTGGTGAGGATGTGGAGAAACTGGAATCATTATGCATGGCTAGTAGAAATGTAAAATGGTATAGCCACCATGGAAGACAGTGGAGCAGTTCCTCAAAAATTTAAAAATAGAACTACCATGTGATCCAGCAATTCTACTTCCAGGTATATACCCCCAGAAATTGAAAGCACAGTTTTGAAGACATATTTATACTGCCATGATTATAGTGGCATTGTTTATAATAGCTAAAACATGGAATGATTCCAAATGTTCATCAACAGATGAATAGATAAACAAAATGCAGAACGTACATACAACAGAATAGTAGTCAGCTTTAAAAATGAAGGAAATTCTGACATACTACAGTATAGCTGAAACTTGAGGGCCTTATGCTAAGTGAAATAAGCCAGTCAGAAAGAAAAATACTATATTATTCCTCTTATGTGAGATACCTATAATAGTCAAATTTATAGAGTCAGAAAGTAGAATGGTGGTTTTTCAGGGGATCAGAGGAGGTAGGAATGGGGAGTTATTGTTTAATGAAATGAGTTTCAGTTTTACAAAATGAAAAGATTTATGAAGATAGAGGGTGGTGATGGTTTTACAGCATTATGAATGTATATAATACCACTGAATTGTACACTTAAAAAGGTTAAAATGGCAATTTTTATATTACGTGCATTTTACCACAAGAAAAAATGGAAGAAAATGCATTGGTTAGTACATTGTCAAAATGAGTATAACCAGAAAAATCATTTTAAAACACTTTAATTTGTGTAGTTCTAATTACCATATCAGGACCACACATGGAACCATCTTGTACAAATGTTTCATCTCTGTCTTCAGCTGAATAATATGATGTGATTGAAATAGGTGAATTTACTGGAGGTGGCGTCCTCCTGGGTAGGTATGTAGACACACATGTTTGGTCTCGTACATGTGCATAAATCACAGATAAATTTGGACGTGATATTAAGTCTCTGTGTTCCCATGTACAGACTAATTTTCCACATAGAATATGTCTAGAAGCACAAGGAAGAAAAAAATTACCTTATTGTTTATTGAGATAACATAGGTTGCTGATACAGTGAAATTTTTAAAAAGTGATTTACTAATTTAAATCCAAATTTCAACTATTTTCTCTCAGTACATATTTTTTTGCACAATGACTTATGTTATGATTCTTTTTTGTTTCATGAGGCAATCTGGCAAGTGAAAAACTAATGGTTTTTACACTATGACAGCTGTGATCTGTTCCACAATAGCTGCTGAAATTTGAGAAAATGATCTCTGGTCTTCAGTTTTTTCAATAGTAAATGGGATAAGTAATTCTTATACACATTTGATGTACATAAATTGAATAATATAACCTATATTATAAATATATAATATATATAAGCTGCATAACAATGTCTAGCTCATCACAACAATAAACAGAGGACATTTTTATGGTCATTGTTGTTTTAACATTATAGGCGCTGAACAAATGTTCTTGTAGGCAGTGGATAATATTGTCCAGCTCAGATGATGTAATAAAGAAAACCTGACCCCCAACATTCGATTTTACTGCATATAATATATTTCCTAGGATTTTAACAATCTCTAACCTACATTCCAAACAGTTTTATAATTTTCTAAATACATACTGAAAAAGACAGTGTGCAGTGCCACAGTTTCCAAAATTGTCTCCTCTGGTATTAATTTCATCATAACAGAAAACCGGAGCACCTCTTGAACCTATGAACAACAACAAAAACTTAAGTAAATTACAATACAGAATTTAAGTTATATTAAAGAAATGAAAGACTCAATCTGGAAATTACAATGTGATCCATAAGAAAGTTTATAATTACCCAGGACTAAAAAGTTTCTGGGGGCAGAGCTAGGATTAAAAAACAAACTCCTTTTTATAAGCCTAGAAGACTTTCTTCTGCAGAAACAGAAAACAAACAACAACATTATTAGAATGCTTCTGTATTGTTAGACAAATAAGCAACTGTCGCCCTCTCTATTTCCTATAAATTATTTACTTCCTGCCTTACTTCCCTACCCGTTGTGAAAATGCTGTTTACTCTTATTCTAAATGAAACAGTAGAAAAATAGTATCTTTAGTGCAATAATGATGACAAACACAAAGAACACTTCATTTAACTCTCCTTGCTCCACACTAGAGTCATAATCTATTATTAGATTATTAGATCTTAATAATTATTAGATCCTAATAATCACTAAATAAAAATTGTTGAATTTTAAAATTAGAATATCAATGTTCATCTACTTCAGTCCTTTATATATTTAGTTATGTCTAATTTTAAAATTCTGAAAAATTCAAACATCTATAATAACTGTCCTATTACTTTGACTTAGTAGTTTAGACGTAGTTTACGTTGATCATGTTAGTCATATGTAATCAAAATAGAGATCATTTGTTGTTACCACTATTAATTGACAAGAGAGCTATCTTCAATAATTTCACAGACTTTCATACTTGGAGAACATGATCTGTAAATTTCACTCAGTTAAGGAGCACAATCCATACATGTACAAGGTGCTACAGAACAATAATACTTCGACAATAATACATTAAGGCTTTTCTGAGTATCCACCTTACTTTTCTCATGGTTTAAATCAGCATCTCAAAATATAAAGTTTCCTTCCAGATCTACCTTTGCCCAAAGTAGGCGATCTCCTATCTGTACTTATTTGGAGTTTTCAAGCTATCTCTATATATTTATCTATTCCATTGGCTAAAAGGAAGTATAAAATTTTTAAGGAAAAGCTTCCCTATCCTATTTTATCACCTAGCCATAATTTGTCAGCCAAAGGAAGAACTTTGTCTGAAATAGTCAAAAGATTGTTGACTATTCATAATTATCCAAAAGAAACTTCTGAAAGACATTTATAAATTTAAGGATGTCCAGGATTAAATGGCTAAATATACAATTGGTTCCTAATTTTATGGAATACTAAGTTCCATACATGATTTTACTTTTTCAAACATTTCAGAATATCTTTCAGTGAACTGAGAGGTAAAAGATGCCTTCAGGACCCCAAAGCAGCCTTCACATCTTTACTGTGTTTTCCAGATTATCATAAATGTTAGTGTCTATGTGTTCATTAAAGGTCAAGTCACATTATAGGAATATTTACCTAACTGCCCAGTGCTCATCAAAGCTCCATCACCTGTTTGTAGTCTGTTTCTTAAATCCAGAGCAATTGTAGCTTTAGATAAATTAGTTGAAGCATCCTCAGACCTTGTATAAGGATTACATTTAAATTTTATAGTGCTATATACTAAATAAGCCTGAATATAGATGCTGAAAACCCTGAACATATTTTATTAGTTGATTAAATAATCATGAAATATTGTTTATTTCTCCTTCTCACACAACTATTCAATAATCCAGCAAATCTTTTACACGTCCCTGGTAAGTATGCTTCTATGGTTTGGAAAATATCTACGCCCAGAGCCAACCTTTGTGCCACTTTCATAAGAATATTGATCCAATATGGTTTTTGATAAATCATATCTTAAAAATTGAAAAAGAAACATTACCAGGTTAGTTTTGCAAAGACTGTTCATACTTTAGTGTGGAATATAATCCTTTTTCAGAGTCTTAATCAGCTTAAGTAGTCAAACTTCTGGCCCTCTCTAGAGAAGGAGGTCTCAACACAGCACAGCAGATATAATTCTTTGTTGTAGAGGCTATCCTGTGTATTACAAAGCATTTAGCAGCACCCCTGACCTGTACTCACTAGAAGCCAAGATTCACCCCATCCAAGCTGGGACAACCAAAAGTCTCTCCAGGCATCCTGTCTAGTGGGCAGAGGCCAAGGACGCTGCCAAATATCCTACAATGCACAGGAGAAGCATTCCCTGCCCCCACTTCTCACAATAAAGTATGAGCTGGCCTACATTATCACTAGTGCTGAGGTTGAGAAACCCTTGTATAACGGTTGGATTAGCACTTAACATTTGTCTAGATGATATACAACTCAACTTGGTCATAAAGCCCTCTAATAATATATGGAACTTTACAACTCATGAGACTTTCAGCCTTATTAGGGCAAACATAACCACAAACCAAATAACACCAAAGGTAATAACATCATTTTATATTATACCTACAATAGGAAGTTTCTGCATTTGCAGAGATAACACTGAAGAGGAGCATGCTGTAGGGGCCAGACATTTCCAAAAACAAAATTTAGTAAAGAGCTTAGAAAAAGGTGGTAACCATTTGAGGTGTTTTTCCTTCACTGGTTTGATTTTTTTGAAAAAAAAAAAGCTTAATACTTAACCTCGTTCTTTTACCATAGATCTACAGATTTCCCTATTTTAAATGCCATTGCTTGATAAATAAGCTATGTCTTTCAATGTGACAACTTCATTAGTATATTTTGTCCAGAAATCAACAATTTGGGGGGGCATGATGATTTGTATTAGGCCTGTGGTATAAGAATTCTTATTGTCTGTTTCCTACAAATAGCATATAGGTTTTACCAAGCAAAACTAATGCCTACTTCAGAATTATATCAAACCCTGCTCAAGGATCATTTGAGCCAACCATGACAGGTCATAGATGACCTACTCAAATAATTGGATATTTGTAGGGAACACACATCATAATCTAATAATAATAATAATACCTTATATTTACTGAGTACAGTCATCAGTTGCTTAATGATGAGGATATGTTCTGAGCAATGTATCCATTGTTGTGTGAACATCATACAGTGTAGTTAAACAAACCTAGATGGTATAGCCTGCTACACACCTAGGCTATATGGTGTAGCCTATTGCTCCTAGGCTGCAAACCCGTATAGCATGTTATTGTACAAAGAACTGGATTTAATATGCGTTGAAATACAGCTACCATTGAGGGTAAATTTTCATCAGGCTTCTATTGCCCTCAGGGGGCTAGCAAAGTGAGATTGTTTTTCAAAAATAAGTACAAAAACTGGTAGTCAAGTCCAGAATTATCACGTCCTAGATGCATGAACACATGGTCACTAGAAGTGGACATACATTATTTTGAAATCAAGGTGCTTTAGAAGTCATGCTTGCCTTCCAAAAAAAAAAAACTGTACTCTTTGGGGCAAATACCCGTGTACTCCCACAGTTCTCACAAAGGACTTTAAAATCTCTTAAAATCACTGATAATACTAAATACACAGTGAATGGCATAACCCGGAAGACACCTGATTGGCAATCCACTATGTGGCTCTAATTTTATCTGCCTAGCATTGAGTCCTGGCTTTACTTAAAGAAACATTAGATCATAGATCTGAAGTACTGTCCCATTCCTCCTAATTTTACTGGTCATTCGTTTGAATGATTTTGTTATTGTTTTTGTTTTCCAAGACGGTGTCTTGCTCTGTCGCCCAGGCTGGAGTGCAGTGGCGTGATCTCAGCTCACTGCAACCTCGGCCTCCTGGATTCAAGCGATTATCCCGCCTCATCCCAAGCACACCCGGCTAATTTTTGTATTTTTAGTAGAGACAGGGCTTCACCATGTTGGCCAGGCTGGTCTTGAACTCCTGACCTTGTGATCCGCCCGCCTTGGCCTCCCAAAGTGCTGGGATTACAGGCATGAGCTACTGGCCCCAGCTCTTTGTTTGTATGTTAACAATGTTTTAAAGTCTATAGCTATTGTCTTGCCATATGGTACAAATAATGATTCTGTTAGAAAAGCAGGACAAAATTATGAAAATCATCAAAACCCCCATCTCACCTTCTCCTTAAATTCCTGGCAGTCACATTGCTGTAGACAATATTTAGAGATCTATGACCTGGTTAGAGAAGACCTCAAGGGAGGGCTAAGAATGAAAAATTTCACTCTCTCGGAGAACATGCACTGCATACGTTCAGGAATTTGTATCTTCCAATCAAGCAAATGACATTTATAGGAAATTATCAAAATGGACTAGATTGCTAATGAACTGAAGCCCTCACTTTTCAGCAAGCGCTTAGAAACCCAACTAATCAGTGATTAGCCCTGCTTTCCTCTGATTAAGAAACCTTGTTTCCTTTAAACTAAACCCCCACCACAAATTCTATATAATATTTTGAAAAACTGCATTTTCACTTGAGGTTTATTTTCTGTTCCTACAGAAATTCCATATAAATTCAGAGAGGTTTTTTGTTGTTGTATTTCACAATCATGAAAATTTTGTTTTTGCGCCAGGCGCAGTGGCTCGTGCCTGTAATCCCAGCACTTTGGGAGCACGATGTGGGCAGATCACTTGAAGCTAGGAGTTTGAGACAAGCCTGGCCAACATGGTGAAACACTGTCTCTACTAAAAACACAAACTTAACCACCCATGACAGTGTGCTCCTGTTATCCCAGCTACTCCGTAGGCTGCGGCAGGAGGATCGCTTGAACCCAGGAGGATCGCTTGGACCAAAGAGGCGGAGGTTACAGTGAGCTGAGATCAGGCCACTGCACTCCAGCCTGGGCGACAGAGAGAAACTCCGTCTCAAAAAAGAAAAAGAAAAGATAATTTTGTTTTTTCTTTAACACTAATATACATTATGCAAGAATTCAGTCATTAACACATACATTTACATTTTTGTTCCATAAAATTCAATAACAGAGTTTGGAATAATCAGAATTTAGGGACTAAGAAGAAAATTATGATTATTACCTCTTCCAATTAAATCATCACATTGTTTGTCAAAAGTCCGACACTTTCCTTGAAAACAGAAGGCTCCACCTGAATCACAATATTCTCCATCACGTACATAAGTGTCAGGCAAACAGTATGGAAGGTCCCCATTGCAATATTCAGTGAAATCGCATTCTTTACCAACTGATTTCCTACAAATCATATTAGCCGGTTTGAACTAGGAGGAAAGAGAAACATAAAACTTTAAATATCAATGCTATTTAAGTTTTATTTCTGTGTAGGCTCTATATGCTGGTCCATTTTTTTCCCTAAGTTTCTAATAGCAATTAGAAAATTAAATCTTCTTGTTAACTATTTAAGCATCACACAGGATTCTTAAAATATCTCCTTTTAAAGCCTGCAACATTTTTAAAATGTTTATGATGAGGATTTATCATTTTATAAATGGCTGCTGATTTCTTCTTTAAGATTAATATGGAGAAACCAGAAACTGCCCAACTGAGCAGAGCCAAAATGGATTACAAGTAATTTTTATATCCCTAGCTCCACTTTGCCTTTCTTTCCTTTATGGATGTCTGCTTATCTTTGAGTTTCTAGCTTCTCTTATAAGCATTACCCATTTTTTTATGCACAAGAAATTTAATCACACAAATGATGAAGATATTCTAAGAACACGCAGGAGAAAGTTTATTTCATATTTATTTCAAATTTCATGTTGCAAAAAACTTAAAAATAACTTCCATAATTACATATTTCTGATCTGCTTCTGGGCTTCCCTTTCTACAAATTTACTTTTGCTAAGAAGCATCTAATCATCATCTCTGAAAACTCTTCTTTCTTCAACACATGCCCCAGTCTCTTATGGCTATTGTCATTATCCTATGCAAAGTAAATAAAAATTTTCCTAGCTTTCAAAGGTCCTGAAGGCCCAGCTTATATAACATTTATCTTCTCAAAATTGTTTTTCGCCAACTTTTTCTTAAGTTTTCAAGTATTTGCTATCTGTAAAAAGTCTCACACAAATTTTCCAGGTGATGCATGAGAAGACAAATACAATATCTACTGTCACTCAAGCTTACAGAGTCAACATTTAATTCAAAACTAATTGTTCAAAGTATTTATAGAGGAAAATTTGCATATGTATAATGAGAAAGTATCAACACTTGTTTCTTCAGAATTTGTTTCCTTTTACGAACTGGTATAAAAGGCAATCGTACTTTGATTCTAACTTTTTTTTTTTTTTTTTTTTGAGACGGAGTCTTGCTCTGTCACCCAGGCTGGAGTGCAGTGGCGAGATCTCGGCTCACTGCAAGCTCCGCCTCCCGGGTTCATGCCATTCTCCTGCCTCAGCCTCCCGAGTAGCTGGGACTACAGGCGCACACCACCACGCCTGGCTAATTTTTGTTGTATTTTTTAGTAGAGACAGGGTTTCACCGTGTTAGCCAGGATGGTCTCGATCTCCTGACCTCATGATCCGCGCGCCTCGGCCTCCCAAAGTACTGGGATTACAGGCATGAGCCACTGCCCCCAGCCTACTCTAACATTTTTAAAAATACCTGTGAACACTCACTTCCTCAAGTACTCTTTGAATCAAGCTTTATCATCCTACTGGCTCCTTCATTGAGAGGCAGAGAAAATTCTTTTAAAAATATTTTTACTTTGTAGGTATATGAGAGTCGTGACTTTAGAATATTGAAAAACTATATTTTCACAATCATTGAGGTAAAATTAAATAAATTGAATTGTGTTGCTCAAGAAGTGCACCTCATGGGCTCATCTTTTTTTGTTCTGGATCTCACCTTTATTATTATTAATTATTTCAATCGTTTGGGAGAACAGGTGGGGTTTGGCTACATGGATAAGTTCGTTAGGTGTGATTTCTGAAATTTTGTTGCACCCATGACCCAAGCAGTGTACACTGCACCCAGTGTGTAGTCTTTTATCCCTCACCCCACTCCCATACCTTCCCACGCATCTCCAGAGTCCATTATATTACTCTTATGCCTTTGTATCCTTATAGCTTAGCTCCCACTTATAAGTGAGAACATACGATGTTTGGTTTTCCATTCTTGAGTTACTTCACTTAGAATAACAGTCTCCAATTCCATCCAGGTTACTGCAAATGCCATTATTTCATTCCTTTTTATGGCAGAGTAGTATTCCATTGTATATGTGTATGTGTATATATGTATGTGTATATATATATGTGTATATATACGTGTATATATGTGTGTGTATATATGTGTATATATAGTGTATATATATGAGTATATGTATATATGTGTATATGTGTATATGTATATATGTGTATATATTTACACATATATACACTATATATGTATATGTGTGTATATATACACATATATACACTATATATACACATATACACATATATATGCATATATATACATACATATATACATATATACATACATATATACACATACATGTATACACATATATACACATACATATATATACACATATATATACATATATACACACAAATATATATACACATACATATATACCACAAATTCTTTATCCACTTGTTGGTTCTTTGTCCACTTGTTGGTTGATAGTCATTTAGACTGGTTCCATATTTTTGCAATTGTGAATTCTGCTGCTATAAACATGCATAAGCAAGCGTCTTTTTCATATAATGATTTATTTTCCTCTGGGTAGATGCCCCCAGTGGGATTGCTGGATCAAATGGCGGATCTACTTTTGGTTATTTAAGGAATGTCCATAGTCCTTTCCACAGTGGTTGTACTAGTTCACATTCCCACCAGCAGTGTAAAAGTTTTCCCTTTTCACCACATCCACACCAACATATTTTTTTTAAAAAAGTTTTAATTATGGCCATTCTTGCAGGAGTAAGGTGGTATCACATTGTGGCTTTGATTCTCAATTCCCTGATAATTAGTGATGTTGAGCATTTTTTCATATGTTTGTTGGTCATTTGTATATCTTCTTTTGAGAATTGTCTATTCATGCCCTTAGCCCACTTTTTGATAGGATTATTTGTTGCTGTTGTTTTTCTTGCTGATTTGTTTGCATTCCTTGTAGATTCTGGATATTGGTCCTTTGTCTGATGCACAGTTTGTGAAGATTTTCTTCTACCCTGTGTGTTGCCTGTTTACTCTGCTGATCATTTCTTTTGCTGTGCAGAAGCTTTTTAATTAAGTCCCATCTATTTATCTTTGTTTTAGTTGCATTTGATTTTCGGTCCTCAGTCATGAAGTCTTTGCCTAGGCCAATGTCTAGAAGAGTTTTTACCATGTTATCTCCTAGAATTTTATCGTTCAGATGATGTTAAATTTAAGTCTTTAATTCATCTTGATTGATTTTTGTACAAGGTGAGTGATGAGGATCCAGTTTCATTCTTCCACATGTGGCTTGCCAATTATCCCAGCACCATTTGTTGAATAGGGTGTCCTTTCCACACTTTATGTTTTTGTTTGCTTTGTTGAAGTTCAGTTGGCTGTAAGTATTTGGCCTTATTTCTGCATCCTCTATTCTGTTCTATTGGTCTACTTGCCTGTTTTTATATCAGTATCATGCTGTTCTGGTAACTATAGCTTTGTGGTATAGTGTGAAGTCTGGTAATGTGGTACTTGCAGATTTGTTCTTTTTGCTTAGTCTTGCTTTGGCTATGTGGGCTCTTTTTGTGTTCCCTATACATTTTAGGATTGTTTTTCTAGTTCTGTGAAGAACGATGATGGTATTTTGATGAAAATTGCATTGAAATTACAGATTGTTTTTTGCCATTGGTCATTTTCATATTATTGATTCTACCCATCCATGAGCATGGGATGTTTCCATTTGTTTGTGTCATCTATGATTTCTTTCACCAGTGTTTTGTAGTTTTCCTTGTAGAGATCTTTCACCTCTTTGGTTAGGTATATTCTTAAGGGTTTCTTTTTGCAGCTGTTGTGAAGGGGGTTGAGTTCTCAATTTGATTCTCAGCTTGGTCGCTGTTGGTGGATAGCAGTGCTACTGGTTTGTGCACACTGATTTTGTATCCAGAAACTTATTGAATTCATTCATCAGATCCGGGAGCTTTTTTAATAAGTCTCTAGGGTTTTCTAGGTATATGATCATATCATCGGTGAACAGCCACGGTTTGACTTCCTCATTATCAATTTGGATCCCCTTTATTTTTTTCTCGTCTGATTGCTCTGGCTAGGACTTTCAGTACTATGTTTAATAGAAGTGGTGAAAGTGAGCATCCTTATCTTGTTCCAGTTCTCAGGGGGGAACGCTTTCAACTTTTTCCCATTTAGGTATGTCCCTTCTATGCCAATTTTGCTGAAGGTCTTAATCATAAAAGAATGCTGGATTTTGTCAAATGCTTTTATGCATCTATTGAGGATCATATGATTTTTGTTTTCACTTCTGTTTATGTAGTGTATCACATTTGTTGACTTCTGTATGTTAAACCATCCCTGCATCCCTTGTTTAAAACTCACTTGATCATGGTAGATTATCTTTTTAATATGCTGTTGAATTCATTTATCTAGTATTGAGTTGAGGATTTTTGCTTCTATGTTCATCAGTGATATTGGTCTGTAGTTTTCTTTTTATGTTATGTCCTTTCCTGGTTTTGGTATTAGGGTAATACTGGCTTAATAGAATGATTTAGGGAAGATTCCCTCTTTATCTTTTGGAATAGTTTCAGTAGGATTGGCACCAATTCTTTCAATGTCTGAAAGAATTCAGTTGTGAATCCATGTGGTCCTGAACTTTTTTTTTGTTGGCATTTTTTTTATTACTGTTTCAATCTTGCTACCCATTATCGATCTGTTCAGAGCTTCTATTTCTTTCTGGTTTAATCTAGGAGGATTGTATATTTCCAGGAATTTATCTGTCTCCTCTAGGTTTTCTAGTTTGTGCACATAAAGGTGTTTATAGTAGCCTTGAATTATCTTTTGTATGTCTGTAACATCAGTTGTAATGTCTCCTATTTTGTTTCTAATTGAGGTTATTTGGATCCTCTCTCTTCTCTTCTTGGTTAATCTCACTAACGGTCTATCATATTTGTTTATCTTTTCAAAGAACCAACTTTTTGTTTCATTTATTTTTTGTATTTTTTTATTTCAATTTCATTTAGTTCTGCTCTGATCTTTGTTATTTCTCTTTTTCTGCTGGGGTTGGATTTGGTTTATTCTTGTTTTCTGAGTTTTTTGAGGTGTGACCTTAGATTGCCTATTTGTACTCTTTCAGACTTTTTGATGTAGCCATTTAATGCTGTGAACTTTCCTCTCAGCACTGCTTTTGCTGTATCCCAGAGGTTTTGATAGGTTGTGTACTATTACCATTCAGTTCAAAGAATTTTTAAATTTCCATCTTGATTTCATTGGTGACCCAATGATCATTCAGGAGCAGGTTATTCAACTTGATATATTTGCATGGTTTTGAGGGTTCCTTTTGAAGTTGATTTCCAATTGTATTGCACTGTGGTCTGAGAGAGCACTTGATAATGATTTCGATTTTCTTATCTTTATTGAGACTTGTTTTGTGGTCTATCATATGGTCTATCTTGGAGTATGTTCCGTGTGCTGATGAACAGAATGTACATTCTGCAGTCGTTGGGTAGAATGTTCTATAAATATGTGTTAAGTCCATTTGTTCTAGGGTATACTTTAAGTCCATTGTTTCTTTGTTGACTTTCTGTCTTGGACCTTTCTAGTGCTCTCAGTGGAGCATTGAAGACCCCCACTATCATTGTGTTGCCATCAACTTCATTTCTGAGGTCTAGTAGTAATTGTGTGTGTATAATATATATAATATATAAAGTATGATATATATCAATATTAATAGATTTTAAAGAAGAGATATACTGTAATACAATAATCATAATGGACTTCAATATTCCACTTTCAACAACAGACAGATAATCCAGACAGAAAATTAATAAGAAAACATCAGACTCAAACTACACTTTAGACCAAATGGACCTACTATACACATAAAAAACATTCTATCAAACAGCAACAGAATATATATTTTTCTCAAGAACACATGAAATATGCTCCAGGATAGATCATATGTCAGGCAGCAAAGTAAGTCTTAGAAAATTTAAAATAATTAAAATAGTATCAAGTATCTTTCTCACCACATTGATATAACAAGAAGTCAATAACAGGACTTGGAATTTGGAAATTTTACAAGTATATGAAAATTAAGCAACATACTGCTGAACAATCAATGGATCAAAGAGGCACTTAAAATGAAAATTTAAAAATATTGTGAAATATCTTGATACAAACAATAATAGTCACACAATATACTAAAACTTATCAGATGCAGCAAAAATCATTCCAGTGGGGAAGTTTATAGCAATAAATATCTACATCAAAAAAGAAGAAAGATATCAAATAATCAACCTAATGTAATTACACCTCAAGGGACTAGAAAAAGCAAAATCCAAAGTTAGTAGAAAAAAGGAAATAAAGATAGGAACAGAAATAAATGAAATAGAGGCTAGAAAAAAGTAATGAAACTAAGAAATATTGATTAATTGTCATAGACTTTGTGAAGTTACATATTAACTTTTAGGTTTTTGTCTGATAGAATAGGAAATAATTCCTGTCATTTAGAAAAGATAACCAAATAAGTTATTGTTTTTTTCCTGTGGATATTAACCAGTTTTGAACATAGTAATATTATGCTAACATTCTTTTGTTTCCAAATCCTATTTATCTAGTTTTGTTACTTACTCTTGAACAAGCCTATTATTCTTTCTAGTTCCCTCATTAATGAGTTGAATAAAACTCTGACACATTAATTGTATATTATGAGAGTAGCCCTTATAATTTTTTGAAAATTATGCTTTTTTCAGGGTCAATCTATTATTTTTTGCTTATTCATGTGTGTGCATGTGTGCGTGTGTGTGTGTCCAGAAATCTGTAGCAATCTCAAATAAAATGTATTATAAAAAAGAATAGCTTACTGAATTAGCATATTTCAAAAAAACAATTTTCAAATACATTGCACCCCAAATATATATCTGTTAAATAATTAGAACAAACACTGTTTTTAAAGTTAGGAAATTGTGAGCCTATAATGTGACTCGACAAGATGGGTAATGGAATTTTTTATTTTTTAAAGGCTTATTACAGATTTATTTATAATTGCCAAAATTGGGAAGTAAATTAAATGTCTTTCAATAGATAAATACATAAGTAAACTCTGGTACATTCATATAATTGAATATTATCCAGCTATAAAAAGCAATTAGCTACCAAGCCATGAACTATAGCTATAGAACATAGATGAACTATAAATATATGTTGGTAATGGAAAAAAGCCAATCTGAAAAGGCTACATGCGTATATTCTTACAACTATATGACATTATGAGAGACAAAAGTATAGACACAAATTTAAATCCAAACATTCTGATTTCAGTTTTGTTCTGTTATGCCACATTGTTTCTCACAATGTGATATTATTTTCAATAACACCTACATATTCTTATTTACTTTTTCTTTTTAGAGATATCATCTGCTCCACTGACATACTGGATGACATTTCCATCATTCTACAATTCTCACTGTAAAACCTTCAAGGACACCATTTTAATAAATATTTCCCATGGCCTACAGATATGCTGAAATCATTTTTTTCACTTATTATCAACTAACACAACTCTTGAGTCCACAATCACTAAATTCAGGAGAAACATGTTTCTTGTCCACTAGGTGGGAGTTTATCTTCATCAGGGTGACCTTTTCTGTTTTTAACTTTATTGAGGTTTAATTTATAACGTACATACCATAAAATTCACCTATGTTAAGTGTACACTTTAGTGATATTTTAAGAAAATTTACATAGTTGTGCAACCAGCACCACAACCCAAGTTTAGGACATTTCTATTAGCATAGGATAAGATCCCAGGTATCCATTTATAGTTAATCCCCATGTCTGTGGCTGGCCCCAGGTAACCACTAATCTACTTACTGTCTCTATAAATTTGCATTTTGGGACCTCTTCTACAAATAAAATGATAAAATGGGTGGGGTTTTGTATTTAGCTTCTCTTGCACAGTAGTGTTTTTGAGATTGTAGTATGTATGAGTATTCTGTCAACGTTTATTGCTCTCTAGTATTCCATTGTATGGATATATCATAGTTTTTGTCAATTAGTTTATAGATATTTGAGTTGTTTTCAGATTTTGGTCGTTGAATAATGTTGCTATAGACATCCATATGCGAATTTTTGTAAATACGTGTTTTCATTTATCTTGAGTAGACCTAGGAGTAGAATCCTTCGTTCAATTGGTAAACTTATGTTAAACTGCTTAACAGACTGTCAAACTGTTTCCCAAAGTAGCAACACCATTTTTTGGTCCTACTAGCAGTCTATGAGTTCCTGTTTCTCTATGTTTTCACCAGTATTTGTTATTTTCTGTCATTTGATTACAGCCATTCTAGTGGGTGTCTTGTAGTATCTTGTTTGAATATACACATTGCTAATGACTAACAATGTCTTTACTATTTTTCATGTATTTATTATTCTATGTAATTATTTTGTATATATTTCTATATATTTTGTATATCATTGTATATAACTTTGTATATATTTGCCTATCTTCTTTGAACAGGTATTTTACCTGTTCAAATATTTCATACATTTGTAATTGGATTGTTTCCCTTCAATTATTGAGTTGTTAGCATTATTAATAGATTCTGTATACAAGTACTATATCAGAAACACAGTTTGTAAATATTTTCTTCCCCTCTGTGACTTGTCTTTTTATTGTCTTAATAGTGTTTTCTGAGGCACGAAGGTTTTTAATTTTGATAAAGTCCAGTTTACCAACTATTTCTTTTATGAATTATACTTGTGATGTTGTGTCTTGGAAGTTTCTGCCAAATCCAAGGTTATGAATAATTTTTCCTATGTTTTCTTCCAATAGATGTATAGTTTTAACTACTGCAGTTAGGTTGATTGTCTATTTTGAGTTAAATTTTGTGTATGGCATGATAAAAGGGTCCAAATTTACATTTTTGTATGTGGATATTGAATTGTCCCAATAGCCTTTGCTGAAAAGACTATTATTCCTCTATCAAATTGTCTTGACACATTTGTCAAAAATCAATGGACTATAAATATAAGAGTTTATTTCTGGACTCTCAATTCCATCCCATTTATCCATGTATTTAATGTTATGCCAGTACAATGTTAAGCTAGATTACTTTAGCTTTGTAGTAATTTTTGAAATATGAAATGGTGACTCCATCAATTTGTTCTTCAGGATTGTTTTAGCACTTCTGGGTGCCTTGCATTTCCAGAATTTTTAGGATTATGTCATCAATTTCTGCAAAGAAGCCTACTAGAATTTCGCCAAAGCTTGTCTTAAATCCATAGATCAATTTAGAGATGTACAGAAGAGTTAACATAGCAGACTTCAGACTGCTATACTTAGAAAGGTATATTCGAAAGCTGGCCTTTGGCTGACACCTCAGTTACCGTTCCCACACCATTGCCTAACTAATAAGTCACTGTGCCTGAACTGTTTAGACCTTGTTATTTATAGTGAACAACCAATTTCCATCTAAGAATTTGGAATTTGGGTAGATACTAGGCAAACGATGCCTATGTGACCAGCCTCTAATAAAAATCTTAGGGTCTGGGTTCCCGGCAGTCAAGATTTCACACATATTGTCATAATTCATTGCTGGAGGAATTAAGTCCATCATGGGTGACTCTACTAGGAAATGACTCTTGGAAGCCTGTGACTACTTTCCTTCATACTTGACCCATGAGCCTTTTTCCTTTGCTAATTTTGCTTTGTATCCTTTTTCTGTAATAAATTATAGTGATGAGTACATTCTATGCTCAATCACGTGAGTCTTCCTACTGATTTACTGAACCAAGGGGTAATACTGGGGATCCCTGACAGAAGGGAGAATCGCTGTCTTAACAATACCATTTTTCAACCCATTCACATGGAAGATCTCAGCATTTATTTAGGTTTTTGTATTTTTCTCAGAAATTTTTTGTTGTTTGCATGTATATTTTGTATTCTTAATATATGCCTAAGTATGTATTTTTATGCTATTGTGAATGAAATTCTATTCTTAATTTTATTTTTCTATTTTCCATTGCTAATATATAGAAGTGCAATTCATTTTTGCATAGCAATTGGGTATCCTGTGACTTTGCTGAATTCATTTATTTATTCAAACAGGTATTTTGGTAAATTTCCTAAGATTTTACATACACGGGGTGGTGTAATCTGCAAATAAAGACAGTTATACTTTTTGTCTTCCAAGTTAGATGCATTTTAATTTTTATTCCTACCTGATTTTACTCTCTTGGACCTCCAATACAATGTTTAGTAGAAGTACTGAGAGCTTGCATCCTCACTTTCATTCTGATTTTAGGGTGGAGAGCAGTGAGAATTTCATGGTTAGTATGATGTTAGCTGTAGGTTTTTCATAAATACTTTGCATCAGGTAGGGGAAGTTCCCTTCTATTTACAATTTGTTAATAATCTATAATGGGTGTTACATTTTGTTATATCCCTTTTCTGCATCATTTGAGATGATCTTGTATTTTCTTGTCCTTTATTATGTTAGTATGGTGTGTTACATTAACTATACCACTTTTGCATTACTGAGATAATCCTTTTTGGTCATGTTGGATACTTCCTTTTATGTTTCTTTATTCTGTTTGCCATTTTTAAAGGACTTTTTGCATCCATATTCGTGAGGGATATTGATCTATAGTTTTCTTTTCTTGTCTTTGTCTAGCGTTAGTATCAAGGTAATACTGTTCTCATAAAATAAATTTAGAAGGGTTCCTTCCTCTTCTATTTTATGCAAAAGATTGTGGAGTATTTTTGTATTATCCCTTCTTTAAATATTTGTTAGAATTCACCAGTCAGGCTATCTGGACTTACGTAGTGAATTATCAAACTGGCCAGAGCTTTACCAAATATCCTGTGTAATTGCTCTATCAGGAGATTTGTCTCTGGAAAGAGCACATGAAACATTTCTTCTCAAAACAATCTGGCATTAGAATTGAGCATCAAACCATGATGGAGCCCATTTCAATAGTCACATAAACTCTGTCTGGTAAACCATCCACCACTACACTATAGCAAATCTGCTGGTAAATTCAGAAGCTGATATTCACATGCAAATGAAATCATTTTTATCACCTTTAAAACAGGAACCAATTTAAAAATTGTTTGATTAGTCAACCACATTTTTTTTTTAGCTTAATATCTCCTTTTTTTTTTTCTTTCCAACTTTTTTTTACATTCAAGGGACACATATGCAGGTTTGCTACATGGGTAAATTATGTGTCACAGGGATTTGCTGCACAGATAATTTTGTCACCCAGGTAAGCTTATCTGCTTACCCGATAAGCAGTTTTTCGATCCTCATTCTCCTCACACCCTCCACTCTCATCTAAGCCCTGGTGTCTGCTGTTTCCTTCTTTGTGTCCATGTGTACTCCCACTTATAAGTGAGAACATGCAGTCAACAACATTTTAGAATGTGGTTCTAAATCATCTTACCTAATTATGATTTGAGTTGACAATTTTGATAGAATCCATACTTTGAAAATAACTGTTAGCTACGTACTTTTGTTTCTCCATCAGTAACACTGAGAAAAAAAAAATCATGGCTGAATAATTCTGAAGAGTCACATTGACTAGGACCAGTACACTATTTCTCTATTAGTCATTAAATTAGAGCAAAACAGGCCACTTTTCTTCCTTTATGTATACATCTTCCTTTCAGGTTGATGTAATCCCATTTGTATATTTTTGCTTTTGTTGTCTATGTTTTGAAGTCATGTCCAAAATAAGGATCTCTCTACCACTTCATTTATTCCCTGAAGCCTCTATGCCAATTATTTTCTTTGTCATTAAGGTTTTAGCTCAAATGTCACCCCTCAGAAAGACATTTCCTGTTTACTCTGGCTAAAATACCCTCTTCCCTCACTTTTTATTCTATCGTCCTATTTTATTTTATTTTTAAATCACTTATCACTGTCTGAAACTATCTTGTTTAGTGTTTGTTTGCTTATATGTTTATTCTGTTTACTATCTCCCACTAGATAGTGTGGAGTAAACTATTTCCTGAATTAGTGAATGAACAAATAACTTTAAGCTTTAAATGAACCTGTCTGCTTCTAATGCCAACATTTTATCTCATCCTATTTTGGCAAGGTTTGATCTGCACATTGTTACTCTACGTAATTTTAGGAATAATATGAAAAAGCTAAACAGAATGCTGGAAGCCACTGATTTTTTATATTGATTTTAAAAACTTACTATCTGTGTGTTCAGTGCTATCTATTTTTTTCTGTTTTTCTCTCTGCTATAATCCTTACATTTGGCTGTAATTTCTCATATTTATCTTCCATGTCAATAACTAGTTTGAGCCATAAGAATTCTGATATTCTCTAAGTTTGGCATTTATCTTAAGTTTAAATTGTGAATGTAGTTTATCTGTAATGATTCTTCACTTTATTCACCTTCAGTTTTATTTTGTTCTATTTTTACAACATTCTCTTAGTTCAAAGATGCCAAGCCTTGAAATTTTTTTTTTGAGAATGTTATTTTTTTTCTGAAATTGCTTATAGAGCCTATAATGACTTAATTTTAAAAGCATACACTCCCTCCAATCTTATGGATGTCTGTCATTTACCCTGTTTCAGAGTTTGTTTCATTTTCCCAGAGTATTTCAGTGAACTCTGCTGGGTGTGAAAAATTATTTGGGAATTTTTTAGTTGATAGGTAAAATTACATGTATTTATCATATACAACACAATATTTTAAAGTGAACTATATATATAGTTCTTTTGTAGTGAGAACATTATTATCCATTCTCTGCATTTGTCAAAAATACAACATAATTATAGTAACTATGCTATACAATAGTTATCTTGAATTTATTCCCCCTCTCTAACTTAATTACACATCCTTCAACCAACATCTCCCCATTCCTTCCTCCCTGAAACAACCATTCTAATCTCTAATTCTATGAGATCAACTTTTTAAGATTCTACATACGAGTATGATTATACGTTATTTGTCTTTCTGTACCTGGCTTATTTATCTTAAGATAATATCCTCCCAGTTTAACCATACTGCCACAAATTACAGAATTTCCTACTTTTTATGGCTAAATAGTATTCCACTGTGTATGTATACCACACTGTCTTTATCCAATCATCTGCTGATGGACACAGAGGTTGATTCCATAATTTGGCTATTGTAAATAGTGCTGGAATAAACACAGGAGTGTTAATGTCTCTTCAACAAACAGATTTTATTTCCTTCGGATACATACCCAGTAGAGGAATCACTGGGTCTCATGGTAATTCTATTTTTAATATTTTGAGGAACTCCCCTATTGTCTTCCATAATGGCCGTATTAATTTACAAGCCTATAAACAGTGTGTAGGGGTGCTCTTTACTCCATATCCTTGCCAAGACTTGTTATCTGTGGTCTTTTGATCATACCCATTCCAACAGAAGTGAGGTGATAGCTCATTGTGGTTTTGATTGACAAGATACTCAAGATAGTAATATTGAGCACTTTTTAAATATACCTATTGGCCATCTATATGACTCCTTTTGAGAAATGCCTATTCAGATCTTTTCCACATTTTTTAATTGGGTTGTTTTCTTGCTATTGAGTTGTTTGAATTCCTTATGTATTTTGGATATTAACCCTTATCAGATGTATAGTTTTCAAATATTTTCTCCCATTCTGTAGATTCTCTCTTCACGTTTTTGATTGTTTCCTTTGCTGTGCAGAGGCTTTTCAGCTTGATATAATCCCATTTGTATATTTTTGCTTTTGTTGTCTATGTTTTTGAAGTCATGTCCGAAATAATAACTGACCAGAACAATGTCATAAAGCTTTTTCCCTGTTTTCTTCAAGTAGTTTTACAACTTTGAGTCTTATATTTAAGTCTTTAATCCATTTCGGTTTTATTTTTGCACATGGAGAGAGATAAGGATCTAACTTCATACTGCTGTATGTGGACATCCAGTTTTTCCAACACCATTTATTGAAGAAACTATCCTTTCTTCAGTTATGTATTCTTGGCACCTTTGTAGAAAATCAGTTGACTGTAAATGAGTGGAATTATTTCCAGGCTCTGTATTTTGTTCCATTGGTCTAAGTATCTGGTTTTATGCCAGTACCATGCTGTTTTGGTTACTATAACTGTGTAGTATATTTCAAGGTCAGGTAGTGTGATGCCTATAGCTTTGTTCTTTTTGCACAAGATTGCTTTGGCTATTGGGGGTCTTTTCTGATTTCATTTGAACTTTAGGAATTATTTTTCTATTTCTGTGAAGAGTGTCATTAGTATTGTGATAAGAATTGCAATTAACCTGTAGATTGCTTCGGGTATTATAGATATTTTAACAATATTAATTTTTCCAATCCATGAACAGGGGATAGCTTTCCATTTATTTGTGTCTTCAATTTCTATCATCAATATTTTTTAGTTTTCAGTGTAGACATCAATTAACTCCCTGGTTAAATTTATTCTTAAGTATTTTATTTTTATCTATCATAATGGGATTGTTCTCTTGATTTCTTTTTGAGATAATTCACTATTAATGTATAGGAACACCACTGACTTTAGTATGTACATTTTGTATCCTACAACTTTACTGAATTTATGTACTAAATCTAACAGTTGTTTTTTTTTTGTTTTGTTTTGTTTTTTTGGTGGAGTTTTCTATATATAGATGTACCTCAGAGGTATTGTGGATTCAGTTCTAGAGAACCTCAGTAAAACAAATACAGTAATAAAGCAAGCCACATAAGTTTTGGGGTTTCCCAGTGCATATAAGTTGTGTTCACACTATATTGTAGTGTATAATAGCGCTATGCCTAAAAAATATACATACTTTAATTAAAAAATATTTTATTGATAAAAAGTGATAACAATCATCTGAGCCTTCAGTTTACTGGTAATCTTTTTGCTGCTGGAGGATCTTGCCTCAATGTTGATGGCGCTGACTAATCAGGGTCATGGCTATTAACAATTGAAGTGGCTGTGGCAATATCTTAAAATAGGACAACAATGAAATTGGCCACATCAATTGACTCTTTCTTTCCTGAAAGATTTCTCTGTAGCATGCAATGCTGTTTGATAGCATTTAACTCACAGTAAAACTTCTGTCAACACTGAAGTCAATCCCTTCAAATGTTGTCACTGCTTTATCAACTTTGTTTATGTAATATTCCAAATCCTATATTGTCATTTTGAAAATGTTCACAGTACCTTCACCAGGAATATATTCCATCTCAAGAAATCACTTTCTTCGCTCATCCATAAGAAGCAACTCCTCATCAATTCAAGTTTTATTAGGAGATTGCAGCAATTCAGTCACATCTTCAGACTCTAATTCTAGTTCTCTTACTATTTGTATCACATCTGCATCTACCTCCTCCACTGAAATCCTGAACCCTTCAAAGTCATCCATGAAAGTTTGAATCAACTTCTCCCAAACTCTTGTTAATGTTGATATTTTGATCTCCATCTATGAATTGCAAATGTTCTTAATGGTATTTTAAATGGTGTATCCTTTCTGAAGATTTTTAGATAATTTTGCCCACACCCATCAGAAGACACTATCTATGGCAGCTAGAGTCTTTACATAATAAGGCTTGAAAGTCAAAATGACTCCTTGATCATTTGTCTGACCATGGGCTGCAGAATGGATATTGTGTTAAGCAGGTATGAAAACATTAATCTGCTTATACATCTCCATCAGAGCTCTTGGGTGACTAGTCGCATTGTCAATGAGCAGTAATGTTTTCAAAGGAATCTTTTTTTCCTGAGTATTGGGTCTCAACAATGAGCTGAACATATTCATTAAGCCATGCTGTAAACAGATATGCTGTCATCCAGGCTTTGTTGTTCCAACATAGAGCACAGGCAGAGCAGATTTAGCGCAATTCTTAAGGGTCATGGGATTTTTGGAATGATAAATGATCATTGGCTTTAACTTAAAGTCACCAGTTGTATTAGCCCATAACAAGAGAGTCAGCCTAAAGCTTTGAAGCCAGGCATTAAATTCTCTCTAGCTATGAAAGTCCTAGAAAGCATCGGTATTAGGCCATTCTTCCACTGCCATAAAGTAGTATCTGAGATTGAGTACTTTACAAGAAAAGACATTTAATCGATTCATGGTTCTGCAGGCTGTACAGGAAACATAGTGGCATCTTCTTCTGGGGAGGCCTCAGGAAGCTTCCATTCATGGCAGAAGGCAAAGGAGGTCAGGCACATCACATGGCAAGAACAGGAGCCAAAGCAAGAGGGAGTTGGTTGGGGGAGAAGGGAGACATGCCACACCCTTTTAACCAATCAGATCTCATGAGAACTTAATCACTATCGTGAAGATAGCACCAAGCCATGAGGGATCCACCCCCAAAATCCAAACACTTCCCACCAGACCCCACCTCCAGCAGTGGGGATTGCAATTTAACAGAGATTTGGATAGGGACAAATAGCCAAACTATATTAGCATCTTTTTTCAATAAAAGGCTGTTTCATCTACACTGAAAATCCATTGTTTAGTGTAGATACCAGCATCAATGATCTTAGCTAGATCTTTTGGATAACTTGCTGCAGCTTCTGTATCAGCACTTGCTGCTTCACCTTGCACTCATGCTATGGAAAAATCTTCTTTCCTTAAATCTTATAAACAAACATCTGCTAGCTTAAAATTTTCTCCTGCAGCTTACTCACTTCTCTCAGCCATCATAAAATTAAAGAGAGTTAGGTCCTTGCTCTGGATTAGGCTTTGGCTTGAGGGAATGTTGTGGCCGGTTGGATCTTCCATCCAAACCACTAAAACTTTTTCCATATCAGCAATAAGCCTGTTTTGCTTTCTTATCATTTGTGTGTTCACTGGGCTAGTGCTTTTACTTTCTTTCAAGAACTTTCCTTTGTATTCCTAACTTGGCTAACTGTTTAGCACAAAGTCCTGGCTTTCAACCTATTTCAGCTTTTGACATGCCTGTCGCAGGAATCTTGATCATTTCTAGCTTTTGACTTAAAATGAAAAACATGAAACTTTCTTTCTGGTGAACGCTTAGAGGCCATGTATGGTTATTAATTGGTCTAATGTCAATATTGTTGTGTTTCAAGGAACAGAAAAGCCTGTGGAGAGGGAAAGACAGGGGAATGGCTGGATAGGGATCAATTAGAACATATACATTTATTGATTATTTGGATTGAATCTAATTGGAGACTTTTGACTTTTCCTGTACGTGGAGTATATCTTTCTCTAGGTTTGGAGAGTTTTCTCTTCTATTATTTCTGTAAATAAGCTATTTTTTTTTTTTTTGAGATGGAGTCTCACTCTGTCCCACAGGCTGGAGTGCAGAGGTGCGATCTTGGTTCACTGCAAGCTCCGCCTCCCGGGTTCACACCATTCTCCTGCCTCAGCCTCCCGAGTAGCTGGGACTACAGGCGCCCACCACCACACCTGGCTAATTTTTTTGTATTTTTAATAGAGACGGGGTTTCATCGTGTTAGCCAGGATGGTCTCGATCTCCTGACCTTGTGATCAGCCCACCTGGGCCTCCCAAAGTGCTGGGATTACAGGCGTGAGCCACCGCACCCGGCCACCATCTATCTCTTCATCTTTTTTATTCTTTCTTCAACACCAGCTGCTCATATATTACCTTTTTTGATGGTGCCCCATAAAGCCTGTGAGTTTTCTTCATTCCTTTTCATTCTTTTTCTATTTTCTCCTCTAACTGAATATTTTCAAAATAGTTATCTCCTATTTCACAGATTCTTTCTTTGGCTTTATCAGTTCTGCTGTTTGCACTCTTTACTGCATTTTTAAACATCATTCATTGTATTTTCAGTTCCAGGATTCCTGTTTGATTTTCAATCTCTTGGCTGCTAAAGTTACACTGGGCTAGAATTCAACCCTCCCAGCTGCTGAAGTCACCTTGTCACTGTGGGCTTTTGAAGCCCAACACTGTTGTAGTAGGTGGGTGGTGATGCAGGCCGAAACTTGAGGCCATCTTGCAGGGGCTAGAGGTTACTGTTTGGTGCTGCGGCAGGTCTGAAAGCTCAGATCATAATTACCAGCTAAGATTCAAGGGCCTTGGGCATCTGCCCAGTGCCAGGTTTTACTGCGGTTGACCTGGTATTGGTTAAAAGGTACAGTCCAAGTCTCACTTCCCTCTTTTTCTGGCAAGCAGACAGTATCTTTCGCTGTGCTGTGCTGTGCTATGCTGTGCTGTGCTGTGCGGTGCTGCCTGGGGTTCAGGGAGGGGCGATGCAGGTAATGTAAAACTGTCCTTCCTACCCTCTTTAATGAATCTTTTCTTATAGTAATCCCAAATAGCTGGGATTACAGGCGTCTGCCACCACACCCGGCTAATTTTTGTATTTTTAGTAGAGACGGGGTTTCACCATGTTGGTCAGGCTGGTCTCAAAATGCTGACCTCAAGCTATCCATCCATCTTGGCCTCCCAAAGTGCTGGGATTACAGCTGTGAGCCACTGTGCCTGGCCTTCATTTGCTTTTTCTATTGTTTCCTGCCAAAGATGTGTTAACAACTCTTAAAGTGATTGTGAATTTGTCTGTCTCTCCTCATAGTAAAATTTCGCTTTAAAATATTTTGAAACTATGTTTGCGTGATTTTTAATTTAGAATTATTACATGTCCTAGTGTGCTGGACCAACCCTGTTCTGGCTTGCAAGGGCCAATTGTTAAATTTTCAGAAATTTTGTGAACAGGTTGCTAACAAAGCCATTAATAAAAATTGAATTTCATTAACTTACAATGAAATAAATTAAATTTTTAAAAGGTAACAAATATTGAAAACATCATTTCTTATTTTCCTACATTTTAATTTTACCTATGCTCTTGAAAATATTAATGTCTATTATTAATTTTTGGTGGAAATACTGTATAATGATCTGCTACCATTCACATTTTTCCAACTCTGCATTTAATAATGTTGCATTTGTCACTTTAAATCTGCCATTGTGGGAGTGTTTAAAGGAAGGAATTCAGCAAGTGCTACAAATCAGGGCCCAAATCAGGTTTTGTTGATTGTCTTGGTGTGCGTGCTAAAAGGTTTTGGGTTAATTAATATAATTTGTATGAGGTTGAGAAATAATTCAACAGCAACTAATATACCAGATTTAATAAAGATGAATTTACTCGGTAAGAGTTAGCAAATTAGGATAGAACTCCAATTATCAAATCATGGTTGAATCACAATCATACACTGAGTTAACTACAGAATCAACAAAAGTATTCTGGGAGAAGTATTCTGGCTACATAAATTTACAGTAGAGGGTATTCTTGCATAACTGAAAGCATGTACCCTTCAACTAACTTAATTGCAATAAACTACACCCATTTAAAATGTTTAGTTTAATGAATTTTGCCATATGCATTTACTCATATAATCAAGTTACAGAACACTTCCATTGCCGACCAGAGATATCTCCTACTTATTGAAGTCAACCACTTCTTCACACTAAAGATTACTTGCCATTTTTTTATAATTTTACAGAAACAGAATCATATATCACATAACCTTGTGAATCTGGCTCATTTCAATCAGCATAATCTTTTTTGTGATTCACCAATGGTGATAAATTTACCAGCATTTTGTTCATTTTTTATTGCTGAGTAGTTTTCCAATGACTAGAAATACCACAATGTATCTGTCCAAATAATGATAGGTATTTGGATTATTTCTAGTATTTGGCTGCCATGAATAAAGCAGCTCTAAACATTCATGTAGAAATATTTTGGGGGATATATATTTTCATTTCTTTGGAAAAAAAATACTCAGAGATGGAAATCTAGGTCAAAAGGAAAGTATATATTTAACTTTATAAGACATGGCCAAAATGCTTCAAATATTTTTACACCCAACTAGCAATTTACACAAATTTCAGTTGCTCTACATCTCAACAAAACTCACTATTTTTATCAGAAGGGGATGTATTATTACAGACATTCTAATATGTGTGCAGTATATATGATGTGGTTTTAATTATTTTTCCCAGATGACTAGTGATATTAAACATCATTTCATTTTCTTATTGTCATTTATAAATAATCTACTGTAAACTGTCCAAATTATTTTGCCTAATTTTATTAGGTCATTTGTCTCCTTTTAATTGAGTTATAATATGTACTCTCAAGAAATACAGATTTTGTCTTTTTAAATTTTGTTTAATATAAAATATTTTTAGAGCATTGTTAGGATCACAGCAAAATTGGGCAGAAGGTACAGAGATTTTCCACATGCCTCGCCCACACACATACACAGCCTCCCTCCTTATCAACAGATCAGAGTGGTACATTTGTTACAAATGATAACCCTACCTTGACACACCATTACACCTGGAGTTCAATTTTACATTAGTTAGGGTTTACTTTGGTGTTGTACATGGTATGTGTTTGAAAAATTTATAATGACATGTATCCACCACCACAGTATCATACAGAGTAGTTTCACTGTCCTAAAAGTCCTCTGTGTTCTACCTAATCATCCCTCCCGTCCCTTTAACCCCTGGCAACTGCTGATCTTTTTACTGTCCCCATACTGTTATCTTTTCTAGAATGTCATATAGTTGAAACCATGTGGTACACAGCTTTTTCAGATGGCTTCTTTGACCTAGTAATACATATCTTAGATTTCTTCATGTTTTTTCATGGCTTGATAGCTCATTTCTTTTTAGCACTTTTTATTTAATAGACAATATTTTTAGAGCATTGTTCCATTGTCCAATGCAGCAAAGACTATTTATTCATTTACCTATTCAAAAATATTTTAGTTGCTTCCAAGTTTTGGCAATTAAAAATTAATCTACTAGAAACATCTGTGTGCAGCTACTAGAAACATCTGTGTGCATGTTTATATGTGGACATAAATCTGCAACTCTTTTGGGTAAAATACTAAAGAGAGTGATTGCCAGATAATATGGTAAGAGCATATTTAGTTTTAAAAGAAACCACCATCCTATTTTCCAAAATGGCTGTGCTATTTTGCATTCCACTCATCTTGCTTATTAAATAATGAATGAGAATTCCTGTTGCCCCACAGCCTCATCAGCATTTTGTGTTTTTAGTGTTCTAGATTTTTGATCATTTAATAGGTAGGTAGTGGTACCTTGGTGTTTTAATTTGCATTTCAGCAATAATATATGATGTGGCACACCTTTTCATATTTGCCATCTGTATACCTTTTTTTGGCAAGGTGTCTGTTAAAGTCCTTGGCTCTTTTTTACTCAGGTTGTTTGTTTTCTTACTGTTGAGTGTATTAGTCTCTTCTCAAACTGCTAGTAAAAACATACCCAATGCTGGGTAATTTATAAAGGTAAGAGGTTTAATTGACTCACAGTTCAGCATGGCTGGGGAGGCCTCGGGACACTTACAGTCATGGGAGAATGGGAAGCAAACATGTCCTTCTTCATATGGCTGCAGCGAGGAGAAGTGCCAAGCAATAGGGAGAAAAACCCCTTATAAAACTATCAGATCTCATGAGAACTCACTCACTATCACAAGAACAGCATGAGGGTAACCACCTCCATGATTCAATTACTTCCCACTGGGTCCCTCCCACAAAACATGGGGATCATGAGAACTGCAATTCAAAATGAGATTTGGGTGGGGACACAGCAAAACCATATCATTGTGCCCATGGCCCTTCCCAAATCTCATGTCGTCACATTTTAAAACACAATCATGCTTTCCCAGCAGGGTAAGTTCTTTCTGCCTATAAGCCTGTAAAATCAAAAGCAAGTTAGTTACTTTCTAGATGCAATGGGGTATAGACATTGCATAAATACATCCATTCCAAATGGGAGAAATTGGCCAAAATGAAGGTGCTACAGGCCCCATGCAAGTCCAAAATCCATTGGGGCAGTCACATCTTAAAGCTCTGAAATGATCTCCTTTGACTCCACATCTCACATCCAGGTCACACTGATGCAAGAGGTGGGTTCCCACAGCCTTGGGCAACTGTGCCCCTGTGGCTTTTCAGGGTACAGCACCCCTCCCAGCTTTCTTTGTGGGCTGGCATGAGTGTCTCTGGCTTTTCCAGGTGCACAGTGCAAGCTGTCAATGGATCTACCATTCTAGGTTCAGGAGAATGGTGGCCCTCTTCTCACAGCTCCACTAGGCAGTGCCATGGTGGGGACTTCTTTGGGAGGGGCTCCAACCCCACATTTCCCTTTTGCACTTCCCTAGCAGAGGTTCTCCATGAGGGTGCCAGCCTGCAGCAAACTTCTGCCTGGACATCCGGGCATTTCAATACATCCTCTGAAATCTAGGCAGAGGTTCCAAACCTCAATTCTTGACTTCTGTGTGCCCACAGGCTAAACACCACGTAGAAGCTGCCAAGGCTTGGGGGGCTTGCACCCTTTGAAGCCATAGCCTGAGCTGTGCCTCTGCCCTTTTAGCCATGGTTGGGATGTAGGACACCAAATCCTGAGACTGCACAAAGCAGCAAGACCCTGGGCCCAGCCCATGAAACCATTTTTCCTCCTAGTCCTCTGGGTCTGTGATGGGAAGGGCTGCCCTTCTGACATGCCCTGGAGATATATTCCCCATTGTCTTGGTGATTAACATTGGCTCCTCATTACTTATGCAAATTTCTGGAGATAGCTTGAATTTCTCTTTCTCTTCAGAAAATGGTTTTTTTTTTCTTCTCTATCACATCATCAGCCTGTGAATTTTCCAAACTTTTATGCTCTGTTTCCCTTTTAAACATAAGTTCCAATTCCAAACAATATCTTTGTGAATAAATTTTAAAAAGTCACATCTTGAATGCTTTGCTGCTTAGAAATTTTTTCTGCCAGATACTCTAAATTATCTCTCCCAAGTTCAAAGTTCCACAGATCTCTAGGGCAGGAGCAAAATGCTGCCAGTCTCTTGCTGAAGCATAGCAAGAATTACTTTTATTGCAGTTCCCAAGAAGCTCCTCATCTCCATCTGAGACCACCTTAGCCTGAACTTCATTGTCCATATCACTATCAACATTTTCATCAAAGCTATTCAACAAGTCTCAAGGACATTCCAAAATTTCCCACATCTTCCTGTCTTTTTCTGAACCCTCCAAACTGTTCCAATCTTCGCCTGTTACCCAGTTCCAAAGCCACTTCCACATCTTTAGGTTCCAAAGTCAATTCCACAGCAGCCTCCCACTCCTGGTACCAACTTACTATGTTAGTTCAGTCTCACATTGCTAATAAAGACATACCTGCCAGTGGGTAATTTATAAAAAAAGTTTAATTGACTCATAGTTCAGCATGGCTGGCAGGGGAGCCAGGACACTTACAATCATGGCAAAAGGGGAGCAAACACATCCTTCACATGGCTGCAGCAAGAAGTACCAAGCAAAAGGGAGAAAAGCCTCTTATAAAACCATCAGATCTCATGAGAATTCACTATCACAAGAACAACATGAGGGTAGCCACCCCCATGATTAAATTACCTCCCACTGGGTCCCTCCCCCCACATGTGGGGATTCTGGGAACTACAGTTCAAGACAAGATTAGGGTGGGGACACAGTCAAACTGTATAATTGAGCTTTAAAAGTTCTTTGTGTATTTTGGATAAAGTCCTTTATAATGTCTGTCTTTTGCAAATATTTTCTCAAAAATCTGTGACTTGTCTTTTCATTTTCTTGAAAGCATCTTCTGCAGAGAGACATTATTTAAATTTCAATACAGCCCATCTTCTCAATTATTTATTTCATGTATGTGCCTTTGGTTTTTTTAATCTAAAAAGTCATTGCCAAACCCAAGATCTTCTAGATTTTCTCCTATGTTATCTCATAGAAGTGTTACAGTTTTGCATTTTACATTTAGGAGTGTGATCCATTTTAAGTTAGTTTTTGCAAAACGTATAAGGTTTGTGTCAATATTCACATTTGTGCACATGGATATCCAGTTGTTCTAGCACCATTTGTTGAAAATACTATCTTTGTTCCATCATATGATCTTAGCTCCTTTGTCAAAAATCAGTTGACTATATTTATATCGGTCTATTTCTGGGCTCTGTATCCCATTCCATCAATCTATCTGTGTATTCTTATGTAAATACTACACTTTCCTCATTGTTGTACGTTTATAGTAACTCTTGAGTCAGGTAGTATCAGTCCTCAAACTTTGTTATTGTCCTTTAATATTGTGACTATTCTGGGTTTATTGCCTCTCCATACAAACTTTAGAATTACTTTATCGGTATCCACAAACAACTTTTCTGAGATTTTGATTGGAATTGCATTGAATTTCTAGATCAAAGTTGGAAGAGCTGACATCTGAAAATATTGTTTTCCTATTTATAAACATGGAATATTGCTTAACTTATTTGGTTTTTTCTTTTTTTAAAATCAGAGTTTTATACTTTTCCTCATATAGATCTTGAACATTTTTTTAGATTTATACCTAAGTATTTAATTTCAGGGAATGAGAATGTAGATGGTATCGCATTTTTAATTTCAAATTCTACCTGTTCATTGTTGGTATATATGAAAAAGGTTGACTTTCATATATTAACCTTGTATCCTACAACCTTGCTATAACCACTTATTTGTTTCACATGGTTTTTTGCTGTTGCTGATTTTTTCAGATTTTTTACATAGACTATCATGCCATTTGGGAACAATGACACTTTAATTTCCTTCCTCCGAATGTGTATCAATTTATTTACATTTATCATTTATTGCATTACCTAGGGCTCCCAGTGTGATATTGAAAAGTAGTGGTGAAAGGGGACATCCTTCATTTGTTCCTGATTTAGTGAAAAAGCTTCCAATTCCTCACAGGTCGGTTCTTTGTTGATATTTTTTAATTGAGTTGAGGAAGTTTTTGTCATTCTTAATTTACTCAGTGTTTTTATCATGAATGATTGTTAACTTCTATAAAATGCTTTTAATGCATCTATTAATATGATCACATAATTTTTCTACCTTTACTTTGTTGATGTGATGGATTACATTAGCTGATTTTCAAATGTTGAACTAGCCTTGCACATTTGGGATAAATCCTACCTGATTATGTTGTACAATTCTTTTTATACATTGTTGGAATTTATTTGCTAATATTTTGTTGGGTATTTTTGCCTCTATGCTTTTGAGTGATACTGTTTTGTAGTTTTCTTTCTTTGTAAGGCCTTCATTTTGGTTTTCAGTATTTGAGTATGCTGACTTCACAGAATAAGTTAAGAAGTATTTCCTTTGCTTTTATCTTCTAAAAGAGACTATAGAGAATTGGTATATGTTTTTTCTTTACATGATTAGTAGAATTTACTGGTAAATTCACCTGGGCCTGATGCTTTCTCTTCTGGAAGGTTATTAATTATTTATTCAATTTCTTAAATAGATGTAGGCCTATTAATATTGTCTGTTTTTGTTTAAATCTGGCAGATTGTATTTCAAGGATTTAGTCAATTTATCTAAGTTATAAAATTTGTGGGCATAGAGTTGTTCATATAGCTCTTTGATCATCCTTTTAATACCCTGTCTGTAGTGATGTACTCTCTTTTATTTCTGATGTTAGTAATATGTGTCATTTCTCTTTTTTCTTAGTCTGATAAGAGGCATATTAATTTTATTGATCTTTTCAAAAAACCATCTTTTAATCTTATTGATTGTACCTATTAATTTATTGTTTTCAGTTTCATTGATTTCTGCTCTAATTTTTATTATTTTTTTTCTTATGCTTACTTTAGTTTGTTCTTTTACTGGTTTCTTAAGGTGGAAGCTTACACTGTTGATTTTAGATATTTTTCCTTTTCTAATACATGCAACCAATGTTATAAACTTTACTCTGAGCACTGTTTTGCTGAATACCATGGCTTTTGATAACTGTGTATTTATTTTTATTCAGTTCAAACTATTTTTAAATTTCTCCTGATATTTCTTAGATAACCCATGTGTTATTTAGACATGTGATTTTTAATCTCCAAGTTTTTGGGACTTTCCAGCAATCTTTCTGTTACAAATTTCTAGTTCATTTTCACTGTGGTCTGAGGTCAGACATTTTATGGTATCTATTCCTTGAAGTTTGTTTAGTGGTATTTGTGGCTCAGAACATGGCCTGTCTTGCTGAATGTTCAATATGACTTTGAGAAAAATGTGTATTCTTTTGTTGGATGAAGTCATCCATAGATGTCCATTATATCCAGTTGGTTAAAGTTATTGTTGAGTTCCACTATGTCTTTACTGATTTTTTGTCTGCTGGATCTGCCTTTTTCTGATAAAGCAGTGTTGAAGTCTCCAGCTATAATAACAGATTCATCTATTTCTCCTTACAGTTCTATCAGTTTTTGCCTCATGTATTTTGATACTCTGTTGTTAGTCACATACACATTAAAAATTGTTATGTCTTCTTGCAGAATTGACCCCTTTGTCATTATAATTGTCCCTCATTCTGCAGACTGCTTGTCTGAAATTAATATAGCTACTCCTGGATTTTTTTTTATCACTGTTGCATAGCATATTTTTCTCCATTCTGTAATTTTTATCTACATGTATATTTATATTAAAGAGGGCTCCTTGTAGACAACTGTATTTGTCAGGGTTCTCTAGAGGGACAGAACAAATAGGATAGATGTATATATAAAGGGGAGTTTATTAAAGAGTATTGACTCACATGATCAGAAGGTGAGGTCCCACAATAGGCCATCTGCACACTGAGGAGCAAGGAAGCCAGTCTCAGTCCCAAAATCTCAAAAGTAGGGAATCCGATAGCGCAGCCTTCAGTCTGTGGTCGAAGGTCCAAGAGTACCAAAGCTGAAGAACTTGGAGTTCGATGTTCAAGGGCAGGAAGCATTCAGCATGGGGGAAAGATGTAGGCCAGAAGACTCAGCCAGTCTAGTCTTTCAATGTTCTTCTGCCTGCTTTTATTCTGGCCGTGCTGGCAGCTGATTAGATGGTGCCTACCCAGATTAAGGGTGGGTCTCTCCCAGTCCACTGCCTCTCCCAGTCCACTGACTCAAATGTTAATCTCTTTTGGCAACACCCTCACAGACACACCCAGGAACAATACTTTGCATCCTTCATTCCAGTCAATCTGACACTCAGTATTACCCACCACAACAGAGAGCTAGATCTTGGTTTTTGATCCATTCTGACAATCTCTTTTATTTTTTAAATTGGTGCACTTAAATCATTGAAAGCAAAGTGATAATGAATACAGTTAAATTAATAACTACTATATTTATTGCTGTTTTCTATTTGTGTGACTTTGGTTCTTCTTGTTTTTGTCTTTTTTTTCTTTTCCTTTTTTATTTCTTTTTAGAAAAAGGATCTCACCATGTTGCTCAGGCTGATTTGAACTTCTAGGTTCAAGGAATCCTCTCACCTCATCCTCTCAAGTAGCTGAAACTACAGGTGCACGTCACGATGCCCAGCCTGCCTTTTGTGTTTAACTGAGCATTTTACAATGCTATTTTCTATCTTTTCTTAGTGTATCAGTTATACTTTTTTAAAACATTTTTTTAGTGGTGGCCCTAGAGATGAAAATATACATTTACAACTAATCCAAGTCCACTTTCAAATAACACTATACCACTTCAGGGATAGTGTAATTCATAATAACATAATCATCCTAATTTTTCCCTTCCATTTCTTTTTGGTAGGAACTGAACACTCTGACTTATTTCAAAATGGTTCCTTTTCTCCTCCTTCTTCTGGAAGCACAGGGAATTTTTCTCTGATATTCACTGTGAGAACAAGATTAAACTTCTAGAGGTAAAGCTCATAAAAATATGATAACAACCTCAATAACTGGGTCCTCCTGGAGTTCTTAACTCTCATAGTTACATACACTGAGCCTCTGACATTTGTCAATTTTAGTTTAGGCTTTTCTACTCCAGCGCTGGCTGTGTGAAAGTTTAACTCACATGCTTCTGTTCTAGCAAGTTGTGATCCTCTGTATTCACTTGTTGGTCTATTGAATTTGGGGGCAGTGCTTCATCCTGTGATCTCACTTCTCCAACAGATCTAAAAAGAGTTGCAGCTTATTCAGTCTGTTCACCTTTTTACTAGTTGACACATTGGAGTGGCAACTTCCAAGTGTCTTAGATACCTGACCAGAAACTAAGTCTTGTCTTTTCACATATTTGAATAAAAGCCACTTGTCAATATACAAATTGTACATATTTTCTCACATTCTGGAGCTTGCCATTTTATTTTTATCAGAGTCTAAGTGAAAAAGGTTCTAAATTTGAGAAAGTACAACTTATCATTTTTCTCTTTAAACTTCTTCTTTTCGCCATAATCTAAAAAATTTTGCCTACCACCAGTCACAAAGATTTTCTCTTATGTTTTATCCCAAAAGTTTTTGAGCTTTAGCTCTAATTTTTAGGTCTTTGATTTATTTCAAGTCAATTTTTTGTGTCTGGTGAGAGGTGAAGTTTTATTTTATTTACACATATGTTTAGTTCATACAATTTTGTTGGAAAGATTTTCTTCACCCATTGAATAGCCCTTTGTCTTACCATGCAAAATGGCCATATAAATATTATTTTATAGCTGGATTCTCTGTTCTACTTTATTAATTGTATATATTTATCCTTTGGTCAATACTACCTTTTCATTATTATAACTTCATAGAAAATATTGAAATTTATAGAAAATTAGCATATGTGCTCCAATTTATTGTTTTTCTTTTCATGGCTTGGTTTATTCTAGGTCATTTCCATTTCCATATCAATCGTAGAATCAGCTTGTCAATTTCTACAAAAAGATAAGTGGATTTTGGTTGGGGCTGTGTTAAATGTATGGATCCATTTGTGTAGAGCTGAAATCTCAATATTATGTCTCCCAATCCATGAAAGTGGGAAATGTCTCCATTCATTTCAATGTTTTTTGCTTTTCCTGAGTAATGTTAATTTTTATTGCGCACAATTGCATGTTATTTTGTTATATCTATACATATCATGTTTTGGGAAACATTATATGTAGAATTGTCCCTTTGATTTCATTTTCTGTTCGCTGTTTCTACACAGAAATCCAATTCATTGTTATATGTTGACTTTTGTATTCAATGACTTGCAAGATTCATTAGTTTTATTATTTTGAAGATTGCCAGTAATCTATATTTCTAAGCCAGACTGAGTTTTACTTCTTGTTCTTTATCATTATGCGTTTATCTTGTCATAACCGCAGTGTTTCCTTCTTCTCTCTAAGCAGTCATTCTGAGTTTCTGTGCACCACTGGGTTTTTGCCACTCCCCTCCTGTACTCCAGCACTCTATGACTCACTCTGGTCAAATGTAGTTGTTTATCCATTGTTTTGGTCCTCTCTTGTGTTGGGAGACCAGCATTAGGCACCTCTAGTGCTGTCTAATGGGCCATCTTGCGGATGTCCCTTTATCATATTTTATAATTATTTTTGTTTGATCTTGGTTGTATATTTTTATATTTTTTATAATTATGATAGATTTAATTTCAAAATATTTTAATTAGAATCACCTTTCCACAGAAAATGTTTTTACCTATATTAACAAACCATGCATTTTGCTACCCCATTGGTTATAATCTACCGTTTTTAGATGTTGTTAACTGTTTTTATTTCTGCTTGTTGTTGAGGGTATATCTTTCAATCCCTTCACCACTCTTAGTGGTAATTAAATTTACGTTTGGAGCTAATACACACACTAAATAATGTCAGAAGACAATAACTGAAGACAAAAATTATCTAAGGACCATGCTTCCAAAAATAATAAAATTAGAAAACAAAGGCTCCCATCTTTTCCAAAGAATATATTTTTCAAATCTATTTTACTAATAGATAAGGCATTTATCTTCTTTACTACTAGAACATTTTTTAAATTTTAGAAAAAATATTCTACTAACGTCTTTAGTGCCACAGTCACATTCTTCACTTCCTTCCAACAACCCATTGCCACATATTCTCCTGTGTGTGTAGGTTGGCATTTCAAGAGGGTTTGTCTGAAGACATGTAAGGCCATTATGAGAAGAAATATATTTAAAGTCATCCAAGCTACAGATGTTAAAATCCTTTACACCACCAGAGTACCTAATATATAAAAATATGGGTATGACACAAATTAATGTTGTATATTTTTATATATCCCATAATATGGTGCTTTAAAGAGAGATTTAAAGAGCATTATTCTTCATAGAAGACAATTAGCAAATCTTAAAATATACTTATTATATTAACATGTTTTAACATGTTTTTAACTCCAAGAATAATATATATTTATAATAAAATAAATATATGTGTGTGTATATATATATGTATATATATATACACACACACACACACACACACACACACACATTCCAAAATTCTTTTTAGTCATACATCTTGTTTTATACAAGATCTGGTATAGATACACGGACCTCTAAAAGTTCATGAAAAAATAAAATGAAAATATGAAAATAAATATATAAACTTTATTTCTCAACATCAAGTTCAAGACAGTTTTGTAAGCAATGATATCAACTGTTTAGTCCGGACCTAAATAACTGAGGATCCTGGAAATTTTACTAGGTCAATGAAGTCTTTTTTACATTATTAACTGAAGAAAAATGAGTGCCCTTTAAAGAGTTTTTAAGATTAGGAAACAAAAAGAAGACAGAAGGAGCCAAATCAAGACTATAAGATGGATGCCTAATAATTTTCCATCAAAACTCTCACAAAATTGCTCTTATTGTTGAGAAGAATGAGCAGGAGCATTGTTATAATGAAGGACTCTCGGGTGAAACTTTCATAGGCATTTTTCTGCGAAAGCTTTGGCTAAGTTTCTCAAAATAGTCTCCTAATTGGCAGGTTTTTTGGCCCTCTAGAAAGTCAACAAGCAAAGTATCTTGAGTATCTCAAAAAGCTTTTGCCATGACATTTGCTCTTGACTGGTTCACTTTGGCTTTGGCTGGACCACGTCCACCACTTGGTAGCCATTGCTTTGACTGTGTTTTATCTTCAGGATTGTGCTGGTAAAGCTGTTCCACCTCCTGTTACAATTCTTCAATGAAATGTTTCAGAATCTTAATTTTTATTTGTACACAATTGTACATACTTCATGAATGTTATATCTATATACTTCCTGTTTTGAAAAACATTATACATGGAATTGTACCTTTTATCTCATTTTCTATTTGTTGCCAAATATACAGAAATCCAATTCATTGTTATATTAATACACTGATTGTGTATCCAATGACTTGCAAAATTCACTAGTTTTATTTGATTTTTTTTTCAAAATTGCTTCAAAAAATTTCCATCAAAGTTCTGTTCTTATCTGATCTCCATCAAAGTTCTGCTCTTATCTGCTCTTATCTATCTCTGGACACAATGACTTTGGCACCCACTGAGTGGAAAATTTGCTCACCTTTAATTTTTCAGCCAGAATTGTGTTAGCTGAACCAATTGAAATGTCTGTGGTGTTGACTATTGTTCATGCTGTTGTCAGTCCTGTTCAATGACAGCACAAACAAGATGAATTTTTTTTCCTTGCAAACTGATGTTGCTTGCCTGCTACAGCAAGCTCCATCACCAATACCGTCTCATCCTTTCTTAAAAGGAGTTTTGGCCAATCGCAGTGGCTCACACCTGTAAACCCAGCACTTTGGGAAGCCAAGGTAGGCGGATAACCTGAGGTCAAGAGTTCAAGACCAGCCTGGCCAACATGGCAAAACCCTGTCTCTACTAAAAATACAAAAATTAGCCAGGCGTGGTGGCACGCACCTTGCAGTCCCAGCTACTTGGGAGGCTGAGGCAGATGAATCGCTTGAACCCAGAAGGCAGAGGTTGTGGTGAGCCAAGATCATGCCACTGCACTCCAGTCTGGGCAACAGATCGAGACTCCGTCTTAAAAAAAAAAAACAACTATGATATTGAAAATGCAATATCCCAGCAGGACTCTTGCAGAAATTACAAAGCTGATAATAAAATATAGATGAATATGTAAAGGACCTAGAATAGCCAAAACAATTTGGGAAAATATTTAAAAACTCATGGCACTTGCACTACCTGATTTCAAACTCAGTGTAAAGCTACAGTAATAGAGACAGTGTGCTTTCCTATAAGGATAGACATACAGGTTAATGAATTAGAATAGATATTCCAATAATAAATCCACACATTCATGGTAAATTGATTTTTGACAAAATTGCCAAGACAATTAAGTGGGTAAAAGGCTAGTCTTTTCAACAAATAGTATTAGAATAACTGTCACTCTATATGACAAAATAAAAATGAACTTGGACACATGTACAATAATTGCAAAATGTATCATAAACTAACTATAAGAGCTATAAACGCATGTTGCATAAAAATTGATAAATTGGACTTTTGAATCAAAATTTTAAAACCTGTCTTCCAGAGAAGACAACTATAAAGAAAAAAGACAAGCCACAGACTACAAAGAAACAATTGAAAATCATGTATCTGGTAAAGAAACCATAGCCAGAATATACAAACAAATCTTGTAATTCATCAACAGCACAAAAACCTATATTTTTATTTTACAAAGTGGAAAAAAGATCTAAATAGGCACATTACCAAATAAGCTATGCAAAGGATATGAAGTATGAAAATATGTTCAAATCATTAGCTTCTAGGGAAGTACATATACAACCTATATGAGATAATACTACATACCAACTAAAGAGACGTAAATTGAACATACTGAGCATATCAAGTCTTGGCATTGATGCAGAAAAACTAGGACTAACAGCTTAGTTTTCAGGAATGGAAATATGGGGCCCCTTATGTATAAAGCAGGGAAAATTACTGTTAATGGTATTAAAACAAAAAGCTTTTTCTTTTTTCAGCAGTCTCTCAGGAGTCATGGTGTTATTTGTTTGCTAGTCAGTGTTGTCCTAAATTAAAATTCTAAGTTATTAGCATGAATTTTACCATTTATCTTTATATTGTACAATGCCAGTTTTAAATGCAGGTATCAAAGCATTTTAACTCTTAAAAATTTTATTTTCAGTTGATGATAATTATATATATTTATGAGGCACAATGTGATGTTTCGATACATGTATATATTGCAATATATGTATAAATCACGCTAATTAGCATATCCCTCACCTCACGTATTTATTATTTCTTTGTGATGAGAATGTTTAAAATGTGCTCTTTGGCAATATTGAAATATACAACATGTTATTATTAACTATAGTCACTGCACTGTGCAATTTACTCTAAAATTATTTCTTTTTTCTAACCAAACTTTTGTACGTTTTTACCAGTATCTTTCCATTCCCCATTCCCCACTCCCCACCCCCAGCCTCTGGTAACCACCATTCTACTCTCTACTTTGATGAGTTTGACTTTTTTAGATTCTACCTATAAGTAAAATCAGGCAGAATTTGTTTTCTGTGCCTGGATTATATTTCACTCAGCATAATCTTCTCCAGATTCATCCATGTTGTCATAAATGACAAAATGTATTTGTTTTTTAAGGCTGAATTATGTATAATATCACCCCCATATTTGAATGTGTCCCCTAATGTTCATGTGTTAGAAACTTAATACCCAATGCAACAGTGTTTAGAGGTGGGACCTTTACGAGGTGATTAAATCATGAGGGCTCTGTCCTTATGAATGTACTAATGTCATTATCACAAGAACAAGTTCATTTTCAGAACAGTGGGTTTGTCATAAAAGTGAGTTTGATCCCCTCTCCAGTACGTGTGTCTGCTTTCTTGCCCTTATGCCTTTTGTCATGGGATAACACAGCAAGGAACTCTCACAAGATGTGGGCCTCTCAACCTTGAATTTATCAGGATCCAGAACCCTAAGGCAAATAAACCTCTCTTCTTTATAATTACCCAGTCGTGGGCATTCTGTTTTAACAGTACAAATCAGAATAAGAAAAAAAAATGGTACCAGTAGTGGAGCTATTGCTATAACAAATTTCTAAAAATGTAAAAGCAGCTTTGGAACTGAATAATGGGTAGGGGCTACAAGAGTTTGGAGAAGCAGAAAAGTCCTAGATTGTCATAAATGGAGCATTAAGGGAGATTGTGGTGAGGGCTCAAAAGAAGTGAAGAAGTGTAGAGAAAGTCTGGAACTTCTTAAATATTACTTAAGTGGTTGTGATCATAAAACCAATAAAAATATGGACTTAATGTTCATTCTGATGAGGCCTCAGGTGGAAATGAGAAACAAGGTACTGGAAACAGAAGTAAAGGCCATCCTTGCTACACAGTTGCAAAGAATTTAGTGGAATTGTTTTGGCGTCCTAGGACCATGTGGAAGACATCCTGTGCTCCACAGGTTCACTGTTCAGGGCTGCCTTGGGACTCTGCAATCTGGCACAGTGCTTCTCAGCTTCCCCATCCATGACTCAATTTAAGAGTGATGAACTAGGATATCTGGCAGAAGAAATATCTAAGTGGCAAAGTGTTCAAGGTGCTGCCTGGCTTCTTTTGGCTGCTTATAGTAAAATGAGAATGGAAATGATTTAAATATGGAATTTATCATTAAAAGAAGCAGAACAGACAGATTTGAAAACTTTCAGGATGGCTATGTAAGAAATAAAAAAGCATGTTTAAAAAGGCAACTGTGACCAGGCATGGTGGCTCACACCTGTAATCCCAGAACTTTAGGAGGCTGAGGCAGGAGGATTACTTGAGGTCAGGAGTTCGAGACCAGCCTGGCCAATATGGTGAAACCCCTTCTCTACTAAAAATACAAAAATTAGCCAGTCATGGTAGCACGTGCCTATAATTCCAGCTACTCTGGAGGCTGAGGCAGGAGAATTGCTTGAACCCAGGAGGCGAAAGTTGCAGTGAGCTGAGCTCGCACCACTGCACTCCAGCCTGGGTGACAGAGTGAGACTCCGTCTCAAAAAAAAAAAAAAAAAAGCAACTGTTTGCTAAAGAGATTAATATGGATACAATAAAGCCAGGTTCTATCCTGCTTAACTAGGAAGACAACAAGAGAATGACCCTGAAGGCATTTCTGAGATCTCTGAGGATGCCTCTCCCATCATCCCATCACAGGCTCAGAGCTCTAAAAGGGCTGAATGGTTTCAGAGAACAGGCCTGGGGTGTGCTCCACAGGTTCACTGCCCAGGGCTGCCCTGGGACTCTGCATTCTGACACAGTGCTTCTCAGCTTCCCCATCCATTACTCAAGTGGGCCCAGGTGTGGCTCAGCCACCTCTCCAAAGGGCACAAGTGGTAAGCCTTGACAATGTCCACATGATGCTAACTCTGCAAACCTGCAGAACACAACAGTTGCCAGACCATGGTGACCTCCACCTAGATCTTTTCAAATAATGTCATCAACGACCTGGGAGCCCAAGCAGAGACTTGTCACAGGGATAGAGCCACTGCAGAGAGCTCCCACTAGAGCAAAACCTATCAAGGCCATAAGAGTGAGACCATCACAGAGAGCTCCCACTAGGGAAATGCCTAGTGAAGCCATGGGAGTGGGGCAGTCCCTGAGGCCCCAGAACTTTAAAGCCACCAGCTTGCAACCTCAGTCTGGGAGAGATACAGGCATGAGACTCCAACATGTGAAAGCTACTGGGTGGACTAAGACCAGAAAGAAGCAAGAATCCTGATGTTTTACAGACTCAACCTCCACCCAAGTATGCCCAGGATGGAGGACATGGAGTCAAAGGAGGTTATTCTCCAGGTTTAAGCCAATACTGTTTTTCCACGTTGGGTTTTGGAGTTATGTGAGACCAGTTACCCCTTCCTTCTTGCCTATTTCTCCCTTTTGGAATGGGAATGTCTATCCTGTGCCTGTTCCTCCATTGTATTTTGGAAGCACCAAAAAACAATGCAACTTGTTAATTGCACAGGCTTACAGCTGGAGAGGAATTTGCCTCAGGATAAACCATGCCTAGAGTCTTACCCTCATCTGACTTAGATTAGAATTTGAACTTCAGATTTTTTAGTTGATGCTAGAAGTTAATACTTTGGGGGCTACTTGGGTGAAATGAATGTATTTTGAATTGTGAGAAAGACCAAAGATGGTCTCCAGCTCCTAACCGGGAGTGATCTGCCAGCCTCGGCCTCCCGAGGTGCTGGGATTGCAGACGGGGTCTCGCTCACTCAGTGCTCAATGGTGCCCAGGCTGGAGTGCAGTGGCGTGATCTCCGCTCGCTACAACCTCCACCTCCCAGCCGCCTGCCTTGGCCTCCGAAAGTGCCGAGATTGCAGCCTCTGCCCGGCCGCCACCCCGTCTGGGAAGTGAGGAGCGTCTCTGCCTGGCCGCCCATAGTCTGGGATGTGAGGAGCCCCTCTGCCCTGCTGCCCAGTCTGGGAAATGAGGAGCGCCTCTTCCCCGCCGCCATCCCGTCTGGGAAGTGAGGAGAGTCTCTGCCTGGCCAACCATCGTCTGGGATGTGAGGAGCCCCTCTGCCCAGCCGCCCAGTCTGGGAAGTGAGGAGCGCCTCTTCCCGGCTACCACCCCGTCTGGGAAGTGAGGAGTGTCTCTGCCTGGCCGCCCATCGTCTGAGATGTGGGGAGCGCCTCTACCCTGCCGCCCCGTCTGGGATGTGAGGAGCGCCTCTGCCCGGCGGCAACCCCGTCTGGGAACTGAGGAGTGTCTCTGCCCAACCGCCACCCTGTCTGGGAGGTGAGGAGCATCTCCGCCCGGCCACCCCGTCTGAGAAGTGAGGAGCCCCTCCGCCCGGCAGCCGCCCCATCTGGGAAGTGAGGAGCCCCTCCGCCCAGCAGCCGCCCCATCCGGGAGATGGGGGGCAGCCCCCGCCCAGCCAGCCGCCCCATCCGGGAGGGAGGTGGGGGGCAGACCCCGCCCAGCCAGCTGCCCCGTCCGGGAGGGAGGTGGGGGGCAGCCCCCGCCCGGCCAGCCGCCCCGTCTGGGAGGGAGGTGGTGGGCAGCCCCCACCCAGCAGCTGCCCCGTCCGGGAGGTGGGGGGCGCCTCTGCCTGGCTGCCCTGTCTGGGAAGTGAGGAGCCCCTCTGCCCGGCCGACACCCCGTCTGGGAGGTGTACCCAACAGCTCATTCAGAACGGGCCATGATGACAATGGCGGTTTTGTCGAATAGAAAAAGGGGGAAATGTGGGGAAAAGAAAGAGAAATCAGATTGTTATGGTGTCTGTGTAGAAAGAAGTAGACATGGGAGACTCCATTTTGTTCTGTACTTAGAAAAATTCTTCTGCCTTGAGATGCTGTTAATCTATAACCTTACCCCCAACCCCGTGCTCTCTGAAACATGTGCTGTGTCAACTCAGGGTTAAATGGATTAAGGGCGGTGCAAGATGTGCTTTGTTAAACAGATGCTTGAAGGCAGCATGCTCGTTAAGAGTCATCTCCACTCCCTAATCTCCAGTACCCAGGGACGCAAACACTGCGGAAGGCGGCAGGGTCTTCTGCCTAGGAAAACCAGAGACCCTTGTTCACATGTTTATCTGCCGACCTTTCCTCCACTATTGTCCTGTGACCCTGCCAAATCCCCCTCTCCGAGAAACACCCAAGAATGATCAATAAATACTTTAAAAAAAATTAAAAATTAAAAAAATAAATAAATAAAATAAAATAGTTTTTAAAAACTTACACTGTTAACAAGGCCAATTATCTGAATAACCTTCTGCGTTACAGTGTTTATATCAGAGCCCATGTAATCAAACTGAAAAAGATAAATTATTTTTAAAAACTAGTGGATATAATTAATATTTCACATCTCTTTCATTTTACAATATGCTATATTCTAAAGTAGCCATAGGAATCCACTCCAATTGAAATCCAGGAAATCAGTGATAATATGCAAATAATGATTTAATAAAAATATATAACAACATGATTTTAGGCAATGTTTAATGCACTCAATTTGTAGTACTATTTCTTTTTTATGAAAATTGAATACTGAATTTCTAAAATGGATATCATTATAAATGTAATCCTACACTGAAAAACAGTATGTGGAGAAAGTGGGAAAATCCTCAATGAGTGGATTACCATTAAAATGATACCGTATACTGTGTTAGAAACATCCTTTTTCACAACATATTATAATACATGTTCTAATTTCTTCTTTTTCCAGTAAGCCCGGTGCAGTGGCTCACGCCTGTAATCCCAGCACTTTGGGAGGCCGAGGCAGGTGCATCACGAGGTCAGGAGATCAAGACCATCCTGGCTAACACGGTGAAACCCTGTCTCTACTAAAAATACAAAAAAAAAATTGGCTGGACATGGTGGCAGGCGCCTGTAGTCCCAGCTACTTGGGAGGCTGAGGCAGGAGAATGGCATGAACCTGGGAGGCAGAGCTTGCAGTGAGCCGAGATCATGTCACTGCACTCCAGCCTGGGCAACGGAGCAAGACTCTGTCAAAAAAAAATCCTGCACATTGAAAGATACAATCAACAAAGTGAAGAGACAACCCATTGAATGGGAGAAAATATTTGCAAACTGCCCATCTGACAAGGGATTAATAACCACAATATATAAGAGGCTCATCACATGACAAATGCTGAAGAGAATGCAGAGAAAAGGAAACCCTTGTACACTGCTAGTGGGGATGTACTAGTGGGGATGTACCACTGAGGAGAATAGTTTGCACTTTCCTCAAAAACACTCAAAATTGAGCTACCATATGATCCAGCAATCTCACTGCTGGGTATATACCCAAAAGCAAGGAAATCAGTGCATCCCTATGTTTCTTGGAGCACTGTTTGCAATAACTAAGATTTAGAAGGGTCCATCAAGAGATAAATGCATAAGAAAATGTGGTGCATATACACAATGGAGTACTACTCAGCCATAAAAAAAGTATGAGATCCAGTCATTTGGAGCAACATGGATGCTGGAGATTATTGTGTTAAGTTAAATAAGCCAAGAACAGAAAGACAAACATCGCATGTTCTCACTTATTTGTGGGATTGAAAAATCAAGACAATTGAACTAATGGTCACAGAGAGTAGAAGGATGGTAACCAGAGGCTGGGAAGGGTAGTGGGGGTTTTGACAGGAGGATGAACATTCTGTTTCTTTGGCTAGTGGAACAGCAGCAAAGGTGACACATGCAAAGATGTTAAAGTGTTTGAGCACTGGATTTCTCTCTCTTGACACTGTGGGATCCCTGCAACACTTGTTATGTGAAGAAGCCTGGCCTACCCGCCTAGAAGACACAAAACACAAAGCCCAGTGACCCTATCTAATATTTAGCCAACTTCCAGAATCAAAGACACCTTTTTGACTAGAAGCTGATTTCAGAAGCATTAATGAGCCCAGCTGAGACAAGCAGAACTTCCCAGCCAAGCCACATACAGACCAAAAGAAATATCTAGCAAAATTATTAGCTAAATAAATGGCTTTTGCATTAAGCCACTTTTTTGTGGTGGTTCTTTACAGAGTATTAGAGTATTTAAAATTGGTGCTTGTAAGTAAGGTGCTATGATAACAAGCACCACAAATATGTGTGACTACTCTCAGTCTAAGAAAGCAACCCAGGGTTCCAGATGCATCAGGGGAGCTCTTCTCTAGCAAAGGCTAGAGAAATGGTGAGCTGCTTGTTATCAGAAGCTAAGAGAGCAATGAGGAAATGACTATTATCCTGAAAAAAGTAGTGACCTATTAAACGTAGTAACAAAACAATTGGAAAACTCAAAAAAGTTTTGCCAATTAAATAATCAGGATTTATTTTTCATGATAAAGTTTTGTGTTGGGAGAGGTGTACACTAATCTAGGAATTATAAATTGATAAATACTTTTTAAGGACATGATGATATATATTTGATGCTTTTTAAAAAGTTAAACTTTCAAGAATGTACTTCCCCAAAAAAATCACAAATGTCAAAAGAAATATATGTAACAAGGATATATATGGCAGAATTACTTTTAATAATAAAAAGTAATAATGACATAAAGATCTATGATTATCAATAAGTGGTGGAGTTAATGTGAATTTTGATTCTCTCCTAAAAATATTTTTTCAAATTTTTCTGGATGTTCTACAGTGAATATATATTGCTTTCATTATTTAAATGATGATGTATCCTTCCTAAGAAAGATATCGGAAGCCGGGTGCAGTGGCTCACGCCTATAATCCCAGCACTTTGAGAGGACAAGACGGGCGGATCACGAGGTCAGGAGATGGAGACCATCCTGGCTAACACAGTGAAACTCCGTCTCTACTAAAACTACAAAAAATTAGTCGGGTGTGGTGGCGGGTGCCTGTAGTCCCAGCTACTTGGGAGGCTGAGGCAGGAGAATGGCCTGAACCCGGGAGGCGGAGCTTGCAGTGAGCCGAGGTTGCGCCACTTCACTCCAGCCTGGGTGACAGAGCAAGACTCCGTCTCAAAAAAGAAAAAAAGAAAGAAAGATATTGGAGTGCTTTCACAGTGCCATATCAACTAGGGGCTGGTGTGGGAGAGGTCTTCCCCAGTGATTTATTTCATCACTGATATTACTAAGAATTGTCAGTACAGGATAATAATAAAAAGAAAACCAGCTTTTAGTAGGGCTTTTTATTGTTTTTAGGCCATTGCCTGCTCAGTCCCGACAGCATTCCCCCTTCTTGAAACTTCACTATAGCTGCTGACACTCCTGGAAAGAAAGAAAGAAAGTAGAGGCAACATCTCAACTTAAGCATGGAGTATGTAAAAATTGCTTGTAGCCAGGCACGGTGGCTCACACCTGTAATCCCAGCACTTTGGGAGGCCAAGGCAGGTGGATCACCTGAGGCCAGGAGTCGAGACCAGCCTGGCCAATGTGGTGAGACACTGTCTCTACTAAAAATACAAAAATTAGCCGGGTGCGGTGGTGAGCACCTGTAATCCCAGATACTTGGGAGGCTGAGGCAGGAGAATCATTTGAACCCGAGAAGCGGAGGCTGCAGTGAGCAGAGATCGTGCCACTGCACTGCAGCCTGGGCAACAGAGCGAGACTCCATCTCAAAAAAAAAAAAAAGAAAAATCGTTTGAAACTGATACTTGATATGATTTCTACAATAAAATACAGAATCACTTCATGACTACAGACACTGAAGCATTTTTTTCCCCAGCTAACCCAGGTGATCCTACACTAGGTGTAGCGTGGCATCATTTTCACTTTGAAGGCATTTCTTTTATGCACGTGTGTGGGATACCCATGGGAGCCTCTTTTCTCATTATTATACGGGAACATCACAAGCGGGAGTGTTGTTGGCTGACTGAGAGGTACAACTCAGTGCTTCTCTCCCAGAGAAGCCATGAATGAAATACCATATAATATGAATGGAGATCAAGCTGGCCAACGCTTAAGGAAAATAGAAAAGAACCTACGTGAATATCGGGGCAGGTTCCCTGATACCCTTAGGCACCTAATCAATTCATTATGAAGCACTGGATTTTTAAAAAATGTTTTTGAGAGGGAGTCTCGCTCTGTCACCCAGGCTGGAGTGCAGTGGCACGATCTCGGCTCACTGCAACCTCTGCCTCCTGGGTTCAAGCAATTCTTCTGCCTCAGCCTCCCGAGTCGCTGGGACTACAGGTGTCACCACCACGCCCAGCTAATTTTTTATTTTATTTTTAGTAGATACCGGGTTTCACCATGTTGGCCAGGCTGGTCTCAAGCTCCTGGCATCAAGCAATCTGCCCGCCTCAGCCTCCCAAAGTGCTGATTACAGGCATGAGCCACTGCGCCCAGCCCTAAAGCACTGGATTTTGAAATAAAAATAATTTATGAAATTTGAGTAAAGTATAAAAATTAGAAATTCATGTCTCTCCAGGGTCACCCTAGACCACAGATCCTACTGAGGAACCGGCCTGATTTCATCAACACAGAAAAGGCCTTATTTTTTACCCTGAGCCAGCAAAATTACTGCAATGCGTGAGTGGCTCTGAAGCTTCCGGTGTTTAGGAAAAGAAAGTAGACTTGAAGGAAATAGCAAACGTGGATGACTCTGCAGCTTAAGGCAAAAGGAATAGATGATTAGATGACATTTTATTCACTTTAAACACCCACTTTGTAAAGGGTCCTTTTAAAGGTCATATTTAGGGTTTGGGCTGTACTTGGAAGATAGAGGAAGGAGGCTTCACTTGGACAGCAGTGTGGGGTACAAAGCATCTGACATAGGCTTGTAGCTTTGGAAAAACAATATGTTGGGGTATATGTAGCTCTTTACTCTGTATGTTTATTCCAGTGGGCTTGGCATTTAGTTATCTTTTAAGGAAGGCGTAAGTAGAGGAAACATTTGTAATGCGAAATTACCCAAAATTCTACCAAAAGCAATCCATAGCAGTTGGCATTGCTTTTACTCATGAGAGCTTAAAAATATCTCCCCGTGTTTATTGTGGCAGCGGGTCAAGAGTGAGAGCAGAACGTAAATCTCATTCAGAAATCCGGCCCACATTTTTACTCCCCTTACAAATTCTTTACAATCACAGAAAACAGTTGCCCTATATCAGCTGCCCATGCTAAATGCAGGTGATATTTACCTGTTATATCAGTTTAATGTACAGCCCATCTCATATTCATTAAGTTGATTTGAAAAATGATCAGAAGAATCAGGACTGGGTCCTCCAAGAATATAAAAGCCTCTGAGGCTTTATCCATTTAAGGAAAACCAGGTCTTTCACCTGTGCTCTCGCTTCACCCCAGCATTTTCTTCTACGGCAGAAGCAATGCATTTAGTCATCTCGGAATACTGGTTTAACGCACTAACAGTTGCAGGTGCTTTTCCTGGAATTTTGTCTCTGCAAGAGTTCTATGGTGAGTGTGTTAAAGGCAGCAAGCAAGGGTCACGTAAAGTGAATATTTTATGAGGCCAGGATACATGGCAGTGTAAGCAGAAGCACCCAAGATAATCAAAATAGCTGAAGAATATGATCCACATAGACTTTCAAAGGCATATGCAGTGAAGTGGTGGGACAGTGGGCTGGGAGAAGGGAAGGGGAGAGTGGAAAAGCATTAAAACTATAGGAAATCAGAGAAAATGCTGGCCTTCTGTTCCTTAGCTTCTAGAATTAGGGAGTTGTTATATAATCCAAGCCAGCAGCTGAAGACTATCTGGCTAATACTTTACTTAATTATTCTGGAATGTGCTTTTTTTCTATAAATCAGCCTAAGTCAAAAGAAAGAGGAACTCTCATCTCTGAATCAAATGGCAGGAGGGGCCAGCTGGGAGGGCTCATTCCCCCTGGATCCTATACATATTACTCAGCTCTGTGGCTGTACTGCAGTGCAGGTCAAATGAATTGGTCCCATTAGCGAGCTGGTTATATAGGAGTTAAGAAGAAATTACTTAGGCAGACACTGAGGGTACGGGAGTCCTCAGTAAGGTTTTCCTTTTAATGAAAAGCAACTCCAAAATCATTTTCTTTTCTAACAAACATCAGCCTGTAAAATCAAGCTGCAGACATAGACAAGCAAGCTAGAAGCTTGCACAGGCGAATGCCGGCAGTTGTGCCAATAGGAAAAGGCCTCCTGGGAATAGGCATGTTCAAAATGGCAGCTCCATCTTCTCTTTGCCAGCCACACGTACAGTAAGGAGCAGACAAGATGGCGCTGGCCAAGTAGAAAGTCCATTTGCATAATAAGATTAGGGCAGGGCAACCAGCCTTCCCTGGGCACCATGTAAACATTACACCTGATCAAACCAAACTGTGGGGCCTACGGAAATCCAACACTGCCTCCTCCATCCTGCCTATAAGATCTGGAGCAGTCCGCCGCCGGCCGACTTTTCCCTTTTGGACATCTCTCTCTCATAACAAAGAGCAAGCTGCTCTCCTCTCTCCTTTCTTCTGCCTATTTAACTTCCTGCTCCTTAACCCATTCCATGTGTGTGTGTCCATGTCATTAATCTCAGAACGAGACGACAAACCTCGGGTATTTCCCCAGGCAAGGATGCTGCTTCAATAGGACAGCTCCTTTAGACGAAGGAGACTCTGTAATTTGAATGTCAATGTGAGGAAAAGGGAATGCACATAGAAAAGCAGAAAAGTTGACAGTGCCACTTGTGACAGGATTTTACTGTCATTGTGAAAATTATATGAAATGATTAAGTACAGTAAGGCTCAATGTTTCAGCATAATCTATCACAATAATAAGACTTCTATCAGCTTCTAAGTGATGTAGTTCTTTGCAGTCTGCTGGTTTGTCTGCAGCTTGGTGGTCACAGAAGCAGTGCTCTGTGCCAGCTGGATGAGGCTCATGCACCCTGCGACTGATGCACCTGGCTGAGTCTCATTTGCTCTGATTAGTCACTTTTGCCTTCATTTGCTGGAACTAAAATCCTGAGAGTTTACTTGCAAAGGGTGGTGTCTGGTTACATAATTAAGTTATTTAGTGGTGATTTCTGAGATTTAGGTTCACCCATCACCTGAGCAGTGTACTCTGTACCCAATGTGTAGTCTTCGAAAAAAAATTTTAAATGTACCTAATCAATTTGTGAACTTTGGCAAAATAATTTAAAATCAGAGTGTTAAGTGTGTCAATTAGCTTATATTTGCTGTTTTTGATAAAGTAAAAGAAGAAAGAGTTATGCTAAAGGAACAAACTGTTCCGATTGTAAGGAGAATCCTTATCTCCAGCCATTCACACTCAAAGTAAGAAACTATCTCACATCAAGGGTGTAACTATAGTACATTTTGTTGAGGCCTTTGAGAGATTTAAGATTGTACTTAGTAGACACCCTTTAGTTATACAAAACAGTTTCTAATATTAAGGGAGTTGTCACTCAGAAGCTTGGCAAGCCTCCCAGAGTAAAGGTGCCTATTTTTTAAGGAATTTGTGAATGTGGCTTTTGATGAATGGACTAAACTATAACTGGATACACAGAAAAGCCAACATAAAATTAGAAACTATTGTGCATCAGTGGACACAATCAACTGAGTAAAATGGCAACACACAGAATGGAAGAAAGTATTTGCAAATCATATATCAGATAAGGAATTAATATCCAGAATACATAAAGAAATCCCCAGTCTCTATAACAACAATAGCAACAAAAACAACAGTGCAGTTAAAAGATGGGCAAAGGACTTGAACAGACATTTCTCCAAAGAAGACCTACAGATGAGAAATAAGCACAGGAGAAGACACTCAACATCACTAATCATTAAGGAAATGAAAATCAAACCTACAAGATGATACCACTTCACACCCATTACAATTACTATTATTAATAAAACAAACTGAATATAACAATTGTTGGTGAGAACGGGAAGAAACTGAAGTCCTTGTGCATTACTAATGGGAATGGAACATGGTGCAGCTGCTGTGGAAAACAGTATGACAGCTCTTCAAAAAGTTAAACATAGAATTACCATACGAGCTAACCTTCTACTTTTGGGTATATACCTACAAAAATTGAAAGTGCAGACTCATAAAAATATTTGTACACCAACGTTCATGGCAATAATACAGGAGTTATTAAGAAACAGTTTTTAGGCCACTAGAAAGGGTAAAGGTTCTTGGTGCAAATTTTCCTGTAATAAGAAACATTTCTTACTTAACAGAAAACGCAACAGGAAGGGCCAGGCCAGCAAGCTTTGATATGCAAATGCTGATGATTAAAATCTGGGTCCACTTAACATGGCGAGTCCCACCTTTTCCTTCTTGTTACCAGATGTGCCAAGTATTATGGCCACCTTTAGATAACACCATGTGATAAAACAGTGTGGTGACCCACATTTGCATATTAAAGGACTAAGGTAGGAGGGCCAGGTTTCTCATGGGCTATGTGGATGATACACCTGGTTAAACCAATCCCCTGGGCCCTACGTAAATTAGATACTGCCTCCTTTAGCTTCCCAATATAAGCAACTACTTCTTTGCTGCACCCGGGGTTCCTCTTTGTTCCGAGCCCCCCATTCCTTCATTTATCAGAGCTGTATCATTTTGGTTCATGGGCCGAGAATTCATTCATCGGAGTGGTGAGTATTAGGAGCGAACTTCCACCTTAAATCTGTCCTTTAATTTCAAGGCTCTCCTCCAGCTATCCTGTCGCCAAACTTTTCTTCTCTATCTGTAGTCTCTTACTCTCTGTGTGTGTGTCGAATGTGTGGGAACTTTTATGGGCTAGCGAAATAATCCTGTTAGGCAAGATCAGGAAATGCTGTAGACTGGGGATATAGCTCAGGAAAAATGCCATTGCAACCTTCTAGGAAGAGAGTTCTCGCCTTTCACCCACAGTGAGGTCACTCACTGCTAATGAGCACATGGTATTTCTAAGCCAACAGCGCTTCATCTAGTGGAAATAGAAATCCTCTTCATAAGACACATTGCCAGTCCTTTGCTGCAACAGTTAGGAGTAAGATGTCTTCCACAGCCAAATTTTAGTCTGGATATTGTCCCATCAGCAGGAAAATGGCCATTCAGTTGCTACATTCTTTTAAGGCACCTATTCTGTCTCCAATTAAGATAGTACTTAATTAGTAAGGGGATTTTAAATTCAGAAGATAACCGGAACCATTTTTTTTAAGGGTAAATGCTTTAGCACGGGCCATAATAGCAGGCAATCTAGCACATTGCCTACATTAAAGGAGCCTTGCCCAAAGGTGACACAGTCTCTCCCGAGATCCATTTTTCGGGGAGCCAGGAGGATCACACAGCTTTAGGAAGTCAGAGGGGAATCACACAAGGCAGAGAAGCTAAGGTTGCATGGGTAAAGCGTGGTTAGTCCCATCGCTTAGCTCATCTGATTCCATGGTTTGAAGGACCATGCCTTCAACCATGGGTGGCACATTTAACATGGGGCCAGGATCCAGAAACCAGGGAAGGAAAAATGTCCGAGGATGCTCCCTGTCTTCTCCTCCACTCTGGGTCATATGGAAAGGAAGGAGAATAAGAGGACGCTTTTATTCTCTTTTCTTTTTCTAAATGGGTAACAAATTATCTTCAGCTTGCACCCCTCTGGAATGCACTCGGAAACACTGGCACTTCCTTAACCTCAGAACATTGAAGAAAAAAGCAACTCATTTTCTTTTCCACAAGGGCATAGCATTTTTACTAAACCTTTACAAGCATTGTAAGATCAACCCAGCTCTTTGAGCAATCATATCAGGCAGGCCCAAGGAAAATAGTTTCCCAAAATTAAAAAAGCAATTTCCAGGGGAACCATCTAAGGATCCCCCTTAGTTGGGGCCCCTTCAAGTTCGCTTCTGATTATAGGACCTTAAGCAAATAAAGGGAGACTTAGGCTGATTTTCTGATGACCCTGATAGGTATATAAAAGCTCTCCAAAATAAGAAGTAATGTCATATTGGTCCTAAGTCAGACCCTCACTGCAGCTGAAAAGCAGGCAGCTCTGCAAGCAGCAGAGAATTTTGAAAATGAACAATGTGTATCTCCCATAATACACCAAAAGGTAAGAAAGCAGATTGGGAAAGTGAAAAAGTAGTAGAAACACCATTCCCAATTGGGAGGGAAGCAGTTCCAGTAGACAACTCTAACTGAAACCCCAATAGCTCAGGAGCTAGATGGAAAAGAAAGCACTTTTTAATATGCATTTTAGAAGGCCTATGAAAAACCAGGACCAACCACTCAATTACTCTAAACTATCTATAATAAACCAAAAGCCAAATGAGAATCTTGTAGCCTTTATGGAAAGGCTGAGAGAAGCACTAATAGAACACGCCTCTTTATCCCCTAATTCAGTCAAGGGACAGCTCATCCTGAAGGACAAGTTTATTACACAGGCAGCTCCCAATATTAGAAGAAAACTACAGAAGCAAGCTATAGGACCAAATAGCACCTTAGAGAACTTCCTGAAGGTGGCCACTTCAGTCTTTTATAATAGGGACCAGAAGGAGGCCCAAAAGAAAGAAAGCTCAGAAAAAGGACAAAGTCTCTAGCAGCAGCTTAACAGGCTTGCAAAGTCCAGGATCCCCCAGGTGCATCGGCTAATTGCTATTAGTGTGGCAGGCCAGGGCATTTTAAGAAGGAATGCCCAGGCAGCAAGATGAAGCCACCTCAAACCTGTCTAGTTTGTGGCACAAACCACTGGAGATGAAACTGCCCCCAGAGGTGGAGGTTACTGGGTTCAGAAACAGTCTCACAGATGGTCCAGCAGGACTAATGGGTCCCGGGGCTCAAGCCCCAGCTCCAGCAGCTCAAACTGCCATTATAGCACAGGAGCCCCAGCTAATTCTGGAAATTAAAGAAAGGAAAGTAGACCTCCTTCTAAACACTAGAGCCAGTCTCTCTCTTTTCTCGTCTCTAATCCAGGCCTCCCCTCTTCCCATAGCATGACTGTAAGGGGCATCTCAAGGAAAACTCTAATCCAATATTTTTCTCAACTTTATTTGCAGTTAAGAGGACCTATTAACACATGCTTCCAAGCCATTGTCATGATAGTTCTACTATTCAAAAAAGCCTCCAAGTTAACCCTAGGAAATAATTTAACTATGTGCACGCCACATAAAGTGGCAGGATTACTGTCCTCTAGGGGGAGCTCTTCTTAGCTAACAAACAGTGGTTAAAGAAAGAAGTGCGTAAGGCTGAATAAACAGTAGTCACTCTCCCCAGGCACAGGCACTCAAATAGCTAAACTAATAGCTCTGACAAGAGCACTTGAATTAAGCAAGGGAAAAATAGCTAACATTTATACTAACACTAAGTATGCTTTCATAGCTCTCCATGCTCATGCTGCCATTTAAAAGGAAACACATTTTCTTACCACCAATAAATCTCCTATAAAATGTCACCAAAAAATTAGCAGGCTATTATCCTCAGTTTTTCTATCACAAAAAAATAGCAAAAATGCACTCTGAGTAACATCAAAAGGAAACAGATAAGGTAGCCAAAAAATATAGGTTAGCTGATCAGACAGCTAAGTCAGCGACAAGGAAACTTCAAGGCATTAACACGCTTCAAGCCCTTCTAATCTAGGAACGCTCCATAAGAAAAATTAACCTCAGTATTCCCCTGCAAAAATAAAATAGGCCACTTCTCAAGGGCATACTTTTCAGCCTTCAAAATGGCTATGGTCAGAGAATGGCAAACTCCATTTTCCAGCTTCCGGCCAATAGAAAGTCCTTAAAATCCTTTACCAGGGGCCAGGCATGGTGGCTCACGCCTGTAATCCCAGCGCTTTGGGAGGCTGAGGCAGGCAGATCACCTGAGGTCAGGAGTTCAAGACATGGTGAAACCCCATCTCTACTAAAAATTTTTTTAAAATAGCTGAGCGTGGTGGTGGGCACCTGTAATCCCAACTGCTCAAGAGGCTGAGGCAGGAGAATTGCTTGAACCCAGGAGACAGAGGTTGACCCAGTGAGCCAGTGAGCCAACCCAGTGAGCCAATACAGTGCCACTGAACACCAGTCTGGGTGACAGAGTGAGACTCTGTCTCAAAAAAAAAAAAAAAAAAATCCTTCACCAAGCTTTTCACTTGGAAAAGGATAAAACTTATCAATGTGCTCAAAAATTGTTTTCAGGCAGAAAACCTCTAAACTGGTTAAACATATAACCTCTCTAGCTCACTTCCAACAGGAACCATCTTTATTTAACCCAGGAAACTTAGTATTAGTAAAAACTCTTATCTCTCTCTCCTTAATAAGCCAAGCTGGGAAGAGCCCTACACTGTTCTTCTTTCAAACCCCTCAGCAGTAAAAGTTACAAAAATCAACTCCTGAATACATCACACTCAAGTCAAAGCCTGAAAAACTGAGGGAGCAACCCCTGACAGCCCAGAAAAATGTCCAAAATATCAAAGTGAAGAAATAGAAGATCTTAAGCTAAAAATCATAAAAAATAAGTAACTAAGTGAGGACTACTCATCTTACTTAGCCCCACTCCTACCTCACCAGATACTTTTTACTGTTTCTAACCTTTCCTCTCAAAGTTCACCACCGAATATTAAAACTTCTTTTAAATGCATATTTGCAGGGAGATTTAATTATACATGGGATTGCCTTTATAACTTTGTAAGTCCCCAAAGGGAAATGTTAAATCTTGGCAAGTAAATAAATTATTGTTCTGCCAATCATAACTATATTTTTAAAAAATGAATATTAGCCATACATATATTTTTTATTTTGCTAACCATTGTTCATGGTGTTTTATTTCCTTACGGATTGTAAGCCCATTTATGTATGGCTGATATTAATCTGTAGGAATCCTGAGGTATTCTGCTTGAAGTGACATTCCTCCAGATATAAATACTATTTGCTTCCATCATGCACCCTCAGCTTTTACCAATCTGGGACAAATGTAGCCTCATGGATTAGAATCCTAACCACATAGGTAACAAATATTCGGAGCCTAAATTCATAAGAGATCCAAAGTATAGTCATGAATTCTCAATATGAGTATTTTATTCATTGGTTTTTCTTTTTGTTTCATTCACCTAGAACTGAGAAGAAAACAGGTGATAATATGTTTTCTCCTTTTGCTTTAAAGAAGTGGCATATTTGTTTTGTAGACCATCCTTCCAATTAGACTGAGACAGTTAAATATTATTATTGTATATGAGGGTTGAGGGCTTAAGGGAGTTGTAACCTATCCTTTCACTGAGGATGTAGGTTTTTTGAAAAATCAAAAATGTCAACAAGCTTTAGAAATTAAGATGCTTCACTTTGCAAAAGTGAGTAGATGCTGTATACAAAATAACAAAAACTTGATTAATTTGTATGAATGTGTTCATCGCAAACGTAAAATAGAATGGTTGGTAATTTCCATTGCCTCACTGAAATCAAGTTAAAGAGATATATTAATTTTAAAATAACAATGCATAAAGTAAGACTTACCAAATTTTTGTCCACAACAATATGCATTTCAATATATCGAGGGAATAACTTAATAAAGTCAGTTTTCTGAAAAACACACATGAGTCATGAGGAGCTTACAAAAATTTACCTTCTACTGAAATTATATTGAGAGATACACTGAAAGATACATTGCTCCTGATTACATAACGAGGCTGTTTTCAAGTACAAAATTAGGTGCTATTCAGAAGATTCCAGTTCAAAGTGCCCTGGGTAGTAAGACTTTTCTATTAGACTTCTCAAGATACGTAAAAACTCAGGAATCTTTTACTTTTATAATAATTGAAACTGAAATTTTCAGTTTATAACATACAGCTTTGGTTTTTCTTAGCCTTTTGATAATTTTCATACTAATCTTTCACGCAAGCAGATTTTCTGCTACCAATTACTAGGAAGTTACTTCTGGCAAACAATGTAGTCTAGAAAAATATTAAAATTTACAACCAATGGCAATTTGCTAGAGCCAGACATGTTATTTAGAGCAGTCTATAGGTCTTGGTAGAGAAAAAAAATCATCACTTTGCTTTACATGTACTTTATGTAAGTTGCTCATCCATTTTTGAACTCTCAACTGAGAAATCCAGGTTGTATAATATTCTCCCCTAAATTTTCTGAGTAATTGAAGAAAAAATATTTTACATTAATTATCTAAATGTTCACATATGAAAATTAATGTTTCAGTTTCTTTTATACTATATTCATATCTTTATATTTCTAAGATTAAGTTTTTGCTAAGCTTTCATCTAACGGCAAGCATAATGACAAACATAAGTTTATTCTCTTGCCATTTTAAAAGTCATGTAGGGCCCTCATGAAGAAGTAAAATAGTTTTAAGATTTGTAAGTCACCAAATCTTGGCTCTGAAAGTATTTTTTATTACACAAAATTATACTAAATTAAAATAAAAGAGTCAATACTTACTTCTGAACTTTTTCTGACTTGATACTCTGAATTAAACCAAGTATAAGTGTCATTTTCTTCTAAGAGAATATTAGTGTCAGCATATTTTTCTTCATAAATCTTGTGTATAAATCCTGATACAGCCTCCATCGGTTCAATTCCATATGAGATGTTTTTCAGCTGCATTGTTCCCCTGAGTGTTAAGACAATCGAAACAAGTCTGAAATGATTCTACTAAAACCATAATTTTTTTCTTTTTTTCTTTGAGACGGAGTCTTGCTCTGTCGCCCAGGCTGGAGTGCAGTGGCGCGATCTCGGCTCACTGCAAGCTCCGCCTCCCGGGTTCACGCCATTCTCCTGCCTCAGCCTCCCGAGTAGCTGGGAATACAGGCGCCCGCCATTACGCCCAGCTAATTTTTTGTATTTTTAGTAGAGACGGGGTTTCACCATGTTAGCCAGGATGGTCTCGACCTCCTGACCTCGTGATCCGCCCGCCTCGGCCTCCTGAAGTGCTGGGATTACAGGCGTGAGCCACCGCGCCCGGTCTAAAACCATAATATTATAACGAGAAATTTGGGCCACAGTTTTTAAGATCTAAAGTGACCTTAGCTTTTTTTTTTTTTTACTTTTATCTCTTTATCTTTTGGGGTCTTTCTTACACCAGAACTAGACGACTATATCACAGGATACATATTACCTTACATTACAAATCTGTGATTATCTTCAAGAAAGCATGGTGGTGGCATGGATCTGTGCACTTAAACAGGTTGAAACCCCTTTCTATTATGTATATTTTCTAACCAGCCTGTAGAATCTCTAGGCAGTCTCTTCTTTAGTCTTTGATTCCTTCTCTTTGATACACTTAACTCTCCTCTGACACTTGATACCCTAAATCATTTGTTTGTGTGGGCTGGATTGAAGGTACCATATGCCTAATAATGACTGACTGCAGAGCCAGCGTCCATTAGTCCCATGCATTCCACAATTGTCAATTTTTCTAGGACATTAGGAAATTGGACAATAACAGAATTTGAGAAAACTAAAAAAGTATGAGGAGACCAATCAATCTCCCTACACTCAACCTTTCTTAAAGCCTAAAGCAGCAGATCCTGTCAGTATCAACAGGTAGCCTCTCATCAGGAACAGATACTGCTAGAATATCAATACTATTTTATTAGTAATTTTGGTTCAGTCCTTAAGGAACTGAAATATAACAAAGGTGATTATAGAATTAGAACAGATACATGGAGAATTAATTCATAGGCTAGCAGGATATAATACTGGCAAATTGAGTATCTTTAAGTAGTCTACAACCTGAGTCCTGAACATACGCTGAGAGTCACAAGAGAATTTGGAATACCCGCAACATATCCATTATAATTGCAATCCATCTAGGAAAAAAAAAGAAAAATTAATGGATAACTTATTTTTAAAATAAACACCCCATATATTTTATTTATATTTATTTATATGTATTACTTTATATTTTTTATTTATTTTTTACTTTAGCTACATTTACTATTTATTACTTTAGCTACATTTCTACTTTAATATGATTGGCAATTACCTAATAAATTTGTGCCATGTAGAAATAAGCACCAGCCCAAGTTATTCAATTTCAGCGAATATGTAAAATAACATTCTAGTTATTATAGAATATTTGTCTTTTTAAAGAAATCTAGAATTACAAATACATAAGAAAAAAATAACCTAATTCTTACCTGAACTAGCAGAGGTTTGGAATGACGGATGTCATTTTCGTCATAAGAATTAATAACAGAAGCTGAAGATAAAATTGATCTAGGCAAAAATAATAAAAACATGCTCAAGTTGTGAAACCAAAAAGGTAGAAAAAATATTCTTATACAAATTTTCTTTTTACTGAAAAATTTAAAGTAGTGCTAATCGACTTGTTTTATTATTGTCCATGCATTTCTAGCACTTAAACTGAATTAGGTGCTTAGTGAGACATTTTAACTAGAATAACATACAATACAAAAATGCAGATAAGTGAGCAACTCAGATTGCTAGAGACATGAAGAGGAAATAGCATAGGTCCCAATTTCCAGCATAGAACTTTCTAGTCTTTGTCTATTTCACTCATTGATTTTAGATTTTATACCAAAGTTTCAAAATTAAAGTGTAAGGTTAGGACAGTGATACGGTTTGGCTCTGTGTCCCCACCCAAATCTCATCTTGCGGCTCCCATAATTCCTACATGTTGTGGGAGGGACCCAGTGGGAGATGACTGAATCATGGGGGCGAGTCTTTCCCATGCTGTTCTTGTGATAATCAATGGGTCTCATGAGATCTGATGGTTTTAAAAACGGGAGTTTCTCTGCACAAGCTCTCTCTTTGCCTGCTGCCATCCACGTAAGAGGTGACTTGCTCCTCGTCTTCCACCATGATTGTGAGGCCTCCCCAGCCATGTGGAACTGTAAGTCCAATAAACCTCTTTCTTTTGTAAATTGCCCAGTCTTGGGTATGTCTTTATCAGCAGTGTGAAAACAGACTAATACAAACAGAAAATGTAGAAAGAGTTACTTGTTCTCACTACAAATTCATATTTGCTAAGCTATGCTAAGGGCCAATTTCTTCTCAATAACTCCGGTCAGAATTTTATTTCCCTCAGTAACTATTCAAAAACTTGAGACTACTCCTGTCACTCATCCCACAAAACCCCCATGTTCCCTCACTGTCAGATCACCTGTTCCCATCTGCACTCCTTATCTTTATTGCCAGAAGATTACTGCTTTCATTCAGAACAAACCCTTACACTGGTGCTACAGATACCATCCTGTGCCATATACGGAGGACACTACTTTTTCTATCCTATAATTTTGAACTCTTATGCTCTACTGGATTTTTATCATAATGCTATTTAAAATGATACTAATAAGTCATTATTATCCTAAAGAACTCTTTCTTGACCCCATGTTCTACTGTAGCTATTCCTTATGTACATGTTTTTCAATTCTTAACAGATTTCATCAAAAGAATTGTCTACACACAATTCCTTCACTTTCTCAATTCTTATTATCCCTAAAACTTCCCTGGAAAAGATCCACAAATATTAGAACGCCAAATCCAAAAGGCATTTTAAAAAATCATTGTTACATTGGACCTCTAGCTTCTTTTTGAAAACTGTGGCCACTCAGTCCCCTCACTTAATTTACATAACACTTCATTCTTCTGCTATTCTTCCTACCTCCTTGGTCCCTCCAGCTTTATCTTCCATGTTGGCTGCTGTTTTTGTTCAACCTATCCCAGGAAACATTGCCGTTTCCCAGGGTCCAGTCTTTAGCCACGATCTATTTATAAGCACCCTACGTAAGAGCACTCATTAAAAAAAAAACACAGCCAAGCTACTGCTTTCTGCTCAATCTATATACCTATAGCTAAAACTATTTTCCAATATTCCTATTGAATATTTTCAGAGATTCAAATTTCCTAGCCACATATGGCCCAGGATGGCTTTGAATGCGGCCCAATGCAAATTTGTAAACTTTCTTAAAACATTATGAGATTTTTAAATTTTTTTTTAGCTCATCAGCTACCATAAGTGTATTTTATATGTGGCCCAAAACAATTCTTCCAGTGTGGCTCAGGGGAACCAAAAGATTGGACACCCCTGATCTAGAGGAAAAAACACACTTGGATATCTCATATGTGCTAAAAAACCGAAATCACCCCTTCCTCACACAAATATATCCCCTGTTCATATTCCTCAGTTAATTATGCTATAGCCTATTCATTTTCTTGAGCGACAACTAAATTATCTGAAATTCCTCACTGTTTACTAATCATTCTACCAAATCTATATTGAGGTCCACCGATTTTTCTTTCAAGTGCTATCACTGGTGCCATCATTCAAACCACCACTGTTACTCACCTAAACTGTATCGTGATATAATTGATCACCTTAACTCTAATTTGTCCCCTCAAAAACAGCCTAAAAGACTCAATGTGGCTACATAAGTACATACTTAAAACCATTTTTGGCTCCCAATATCTGACCATGGCATTCTGAATCTTCTACAGCCTGGCTCCTACCTACCTTTCCCGAATCTTTTACCTCTATTTTTCAGAAAATTTGTGCTTCAGTAATTCACATTGACTATGCACATCAGAAAAGCCACTCTGTCTCACACCTCTGTGCTCTACCATGATTTCTTCTCGAAACAGAATGTTGGCTGGGTGCAGTGGTTCACGCCTGTAATCCCAGCACTTTGAGAGGCCAAGGAGGGAGAAATGCTTCAGGGCAGGAGTTCAAGGCCAGCCTGGGCAACATGATGAAACCCCATCTCTACTAAAAGTACACAAAATTAGCCAGGCATGGTGGTGCACACCTGTAGTCCCAGCTATTTGGGAGGCTGAGGCATGAGAATTGCTGGAACCCAGGAGGTAGAGGTTGCAGTGAACCGAGATCACTCCACTGCACTCTAGCCCGGGCAACAGAGCAAGACTCTCTCAGAAAAAAAAATGTCCCCCTGTCCTGCCCCTCTACTTTATATAGCTCTGTCTCCTCCCTTAAGATACAAGTAATCTCTTACCTCTTCCATAAAAGCCTTTCCTGACTTCCAAGTAATACTATTTACACATTTATCATATTACCATATTATAATAAAATTATTTGTTTTTCTATTAAGGTATCTGAATGTATCTTTCTTTATTATAAATTCTTTAACAGTGCAATATGTTTTATTCTCTTTTGCATGCCTAGGACTTTACTCAGTACCCAGTATAGAGTAGGCATCAATATATTTGAATCAAAATGATTCATTCTACTTATACATACTTTTAGAAATTAAGAAGCCAAAGTATTAAAATTTGAAAGGACAAACTAATTACTTACTGCTTTTTGAGATGGACAAAATATGGCTTTCCCTATGGTAATCATGTAAATAACCTATAACAAAATTATTAGAAAAATTCAATAATAACACATGCCAAATAGTGTATCTTCTCCAAATTAGAGTTTAAAATATTGACAAAATTAATAACAACCTGTAACCATTATATTGGCTTTCCTTCCCACACAGATACTTGGAGCTTCAGAATTCTGCATTGAGAACTAAGTGATAAAGCACTCACTTGCCTGCTATTCACTATTACTCACACCTCTGAGGGAGAAGCTTATCTGATGATTATTGTCTTTCAGTTCAGACAGACCCCATCATCAACTCACAACTAATTGTGAGGACCCATTGGTTGCTTACCTAGAGCTCTCCTGGAAGGTAAATTGTCCTACTCATTGAAAGAGACCCTCCCAAAAGATATAAGTACAAGAAATGTAATATACTTCTAGCAATATAACATCAAAAGCCATTGCATTTTACTTATCTGTGTGAGCAATCAAACTCCTCTGGAATAGAATGTAGGAGAGAATACAGGGAGACTAAAGACATGTCTAGAGAACACCATAGAAGATAACAGAAAATGCAATGGTCATTAAATTATGTATTTGGTTAATTTAAGAAATAGCATTTAACAGTTTTCAATTCCTCAACTTTATACTGGAGCATAACAAGCTACTTTGATTCAGGTAAATGTTCTGTGAGGAATCGGTTGAATGGCATTGTGAAAAGAAGTATAAGTGGAATTTGGAAGGGACCTTTAAAATTGTGCCCTCTAAAATCCTTTGATATTAAACAAATAAGATTAAAATTAAAGGATAATATGAAAGCAACAATAAAATTTAAAATCCACATATCTTACAAAGCTAAAACAAAAAAAACTAAAATAAACCAAAAATGTACAAAACCAACCAATAGAAGGAAAAAACTCTCGAAAGACACATTATCCAGAGCCTCCACATCTTTTCATATACAATATCCAACTGATATAAGCTGAATTGTAACCCCCCTAAAAATTCATTAGATGAAATACTAATCCCCAGCACCTCAAAATGTGACCATCTTTGGAGATAGGGTCTTAATGGCTGATGTCATTCTTAACTGTGAGAACCATGAAAGTTTTCCTATTAAATCAGGAACAAGGCAAAGGACTTCCCTTCTCTCCGGTACTTTTTAATATCACACTGAAAGTCCTAGCTAATGCAATAAAGCAAAAAAAGGAAATAAAATGGATACAGATTTGCTAGAAATAAATGTGTGTCCTTATTCACAGATTACATGATTGTCTATGTAGAAAATCTGAAAGAATCACCAAAAAAAAAAAACCCTGGAACAAATAAACAATTGTGGCAAGGTTGCAGGATACGAAGTTAATATTAAAAACTCATTATCTTTCCTTTGTACCAACAATGAACAGGTAATAAGTTAAGTGAAACACACAATGTCATTTACATTTCACCCTGAAAAATGAAATGCTTAGGTATAAATATAGCAAAATATATATTTATGAGAAAAACTACAAAACTAATGCAAAAACTCCAAAAGAACTAAATAAATGGAGGGATATTCCATGTTTATAGATATAAAGACTCAATATTGTCAAGATGTCAGTTCTTTCCAATGTCATCTATAGATCAATGTAATCCCAATGAAAATATCAGCAAGCTATTTTATAGATACCAACAAACTGATTCTCAACTTCATATGTAGAGCCAGAAGACCCAAAATAGCCAATATAATATTGAAGGTGAAGAACAAAGTTGGAGAATTGACACCACCCAACTTCAAGACTTAGTATAAGGCCAGGCGCAGTGGCTCACACCTGTAATTCCAGAACTTTGGGAGGCCAAGGCAGGTGGACCACCTGAGGTCAGGAGTTCAAGACTAGCCAGGCCAACATGACAAAACCCTGTCTCTACTAAAAACACAAAAATTATCTGTGCACGATGGCGGGCACCTGTAATCTCAGCTACTCAGGAGGCTGAGCCAGGAGAATCACTTGAACCTGGGAGGCAGAGGTTGCAGTGAGCCAAGATCATGCCACTGCACTCCAGCCTGGGCAACAGAGTGAGACCCTGTCTCAAAAAAAATAAAAGATTTAGTATAAATTTACAGTCCTCAAAACACGGTGGTGTTTGCAAAATCATAGACAAACAGTTCAAAGAAATAGAGATCCCAGAAATAGATCTACATAAATATGGTCAATGGATCTTTGACAAAGAAGCAGAGGCAAAACAATATTTTTAAAAGACAGTCTTTTCAAAAAAATTGTACTAGAACAACAGTATTGCCACATGCAAAAAATAAAAATAAAAAAGAATCTAGACACAGACTTTAAATCCCTCACAAAAATTAACTCAAAATGGACCACACGCCTAAATGTAAAATGCAAAAACTGTAAAACTACTGGAAATGTTCACTAGAAAAAAAGAATAAAATACATTGGGTGTGACCACTGTAGAAATTATGTTGCGATCTAAATGAAACAGACTATAACTGCAAGCAAATTCTACAAAACAGAGAACTGTTAGGGGAAGTCAAATCATCAGGAAGCTGTAATTTTAGAAGGAAGTATGTAATTTAGATGCTTATAATTTATTTCAGGTGAACAACAAATAATTTAGTATAAGTAAGCCTCATGTAGTATTTCTCTTTTATCTTTATGTACACATGCATTTAACTGGGTATTCTGTATTTTTATTTACAAAATCTTATAACTGTACATCCTTAGGCACTTTTACTTTCGCAGGTCCTACCCCATATGATACCAAACATATTCAAATAAAATCACATCCCACAATAATTATAATTTTCTGTTGCTAAAATATATTACAATGTAAATTTTTAAATCATTATAGTTAAAAGAAACACACTGAATTTCCATATTACAAATGCCTTTATAAAAATTCTGGAAATTAGACAAGTGAGGAATTCAAAGATTATCAGTGATAAACAATGGAAAGGGAGAGTTGGCATTACTGATCTCAGGAAAAAGGAAATTAAACAAAGATGTAATGTCACCTCTTCTTTCCAATCAGAAAGGGAAGCTGTCATAGGGCTCATACACCACAGCATAGCTAGTAATTCACTTGGGAGGCAGCGTGGAGGGGTGTTCAAAGCTGCATGATAAGCATGTTGGTAAATAAAACTCAGCTACTAGAGGAAGAAAAGGTAAAGAAAGGGTATATGGGGAAGGGGAAAAGATATAAATAGTATATCCTTATGTGAAACAGAGAGGAAAGATTTCTGAAACCACTAAACGGAAAAAAAAATTTGGAGGCCTATAATTACTAAATAACAATAGATTATCTTATACTGGAAGAAGCCATGTGAGAAGTATTCTCCTGCTGAATTATTAGAGAAGGACCATTCACTACCATCCAATCTCGGACTGTGAAATTGATGTGATCATTAACAGATAAGCCTGCCCAGAGGTCATCACTATTCAGATCCTCACTGACTTAGTAAAAGCTAAGACAAATCACTAGGGGATCACTAGGGCTAGAACTAGGATACCAGAAAACTCAGTTATCAAGATAAATCATATCTTAATGCAACCTTTTTAAAAATCAATGCAAAAAAACACCATGATGAAAAAAATACCAAAATTTTCAAGACAGACAGGATCTGATCCTGTAGTTACATGATTCATTTCACTTGCCTCACCCTAATCCTGGTCCTGGGGGGATCCAAGTTTTCTGCTACCTCCTTAAATTTCAAACTTGGGGGATCCTATACCTAGCATTTTGGCCCCAAGGGATCTTATCCCTAAAATCCTTCATCATCAACAGAAACACACACACACAGTCTCACACATTCGTAAACATCAAAATGCTCCCTCTTGTGAACCTGTTCTCAGCTGTCAGCTCTGCCTCCAAGAAGTGCAATCCTGCCCACATTCAGCACCTTTGGTCTTGACATTAAACGCAACTTGAACAACATTTCATAGTAAAAATATTATTAAAATTACATTATGTTCTGGATCTGTTTTTGCATCCGATGATGAAATCTTCTCTGGAATTGTGGTCTGCAGGAAGATTTTATGAGGATCTAAAAATAAATATAAACTATGTTATTTTGATACCTGTGGTCTTATGTTATTCATTTCTAACTCTGATTCTGCATTTGTTTCTCTACATTAGCAGCTATTTTTAAAATAATCTACACATCTCGCCCTTTCCACTGTCTTTCTAGTCATTCTTACCTACAAATTTCTGACCCCTGGTCAAGATCTCAAATTTTTATTCCCATTCTCCCCTGCAAATCCCTCTCTCAACACACACACAGACACACACACACACGCACAGTTGGCACTGGCACAGCTAAGTTAACACTAAGTACCAGATTCAGTGTTATAAACAGATGTGGAAATGAGAAAACACAGATGCATCAAGAAAGGTTTTGCAGGGACAAATATAGAATATTGAATACAAGGATGATCTGCACTTTTCAATGGGGCAGGTGGAGGATAACAGTTGCCAAATCAGTAAATCCTTGATAGATAGCTTTTTTTACAGTGATGCAATTATTCGTAGAGTAGCAGAATTTTGTATGTGGAAAAAACCACATATTTCATTTTTGTTCATTTTCCGCATCAGGAAGCCATCCCAGAGAAGTTAAACGATTTTCTGTCGGAGGCTGCCTCTCTGCCTTTTTGGCCACAGACCTTGAAGCAAGGGGCCAGGAGAAAGCGGGAGAGCGTGGAGCCAGGGTAAAGTCTGGGCTGGACCTGGGCCGTGGAAAGAGTGAACAAGGTCTCCCTCGGAAGCCTGGATTCCTGGACTTACTGAGGTCTGCATGCATCCCACCAAGTCCAGTGAGAAGCACCAGAAGAAGGAACATGGCTCGCTGTCTTAGAGCCCTGGCGATGAACAGCAGTTGAGACGTTGAGAGCTGGAGAGGCGCAGCTCGCGCAGGGCTGAGCGCGCGTGAGGCGGCCCAGGAAGGCTGCGGAGAGGAAAAGCGCACAGACGAAGCGGGAGGTGATTGGAAGTAGGTAACGCGCTGCTGGCAGGCAGCTGAGCACTCAAGAGAAGCGTCTCAGCATTGATACGCCAGTCAGTTTATTGTTAAAAAAGAAAGGATTCCTAATTGTCAATTCTCAGGTTAGGGTGGTGCCTGGTGACGCTTTTGCTTATATCTTTTACTTAGACCATCGCTTTTTTAATTAACTTCCAGTTACAGTGAGAAAAGAAACAAATATAAACATATTCTGGTTACTGACAGCAATCAAGTTTCTTCCCATTACATTAATATACCATGCAAACAGTTTAGCTAGAACCAGGCAAAATGCATGTTTGCAGAAAATGTTGCAAACGCTGTGATTTTAACATTCCATGGCTGGGGACACCATTATAGGACAGCTATTGAATGCCGAACAGCCCATACAGTCCCTGCTCAGACGGACTTCCAACAAATCTTCTCTAATGTCCCAAACTATTACTGCTACATTCTGTGTAATCCTGCAATCCCTAGCTTTTACTTCTTTATTCAGACCTTTTAAAATTCTGCCTCTAGCAGAAGCAGAAACAGTTTAGTTTATTGGGGTCCATAGGCACTCTTTCCTTTGCAGGTCCTAGCACACATCATATTAAATACACTAAAATACAGCCACATCCCCACATTAACTGTAAATTTTCAGTAAAAATCTGAAAGCGTGTTTATAAATACGCTTTGAAATTACTTGGATGCAAATCTAAGGGACGTTATCAGCAGAACAATAACAAAAATATTTAAAAAAAGAACCAAGAGACAAAGAAGTAAAGTCACAAGACATGAAATTAATAGTAGAATGGATACAATTGCTTAATGAAGCAGAAATTTGGAATATCAGGTTGGCAAACTCTGACAGAAAAGAACAAGGAAAGAAAAAAAGTAGGAATGCAAAAATAAAATTAAGTTATATGGAAAATAGAAATAGAACTGCCTGTATCTAGAGAATAGCATTTCCCCACCAAAAAAGAGAAAAATCAAAATAGGAGGAAATATTTAAAGAAATAATGGAAAAAGTTTCTGTACATTTAAAAAGTTAGAGAATGACCTTAGATTGAAAGAACCCAGAGATTGCAAACTGGGCATTGAAGAGGAAAACACACACACACACACACACACACACACACACACACACACCTGAAATTTAAAATGATAACAAAGAGAAAATCCTAGAATCTTCTAAAGGAAAAGAACAGGTTGCCTACCAAGGAACAAGAATCAAATCAACATTCATAGCCATACTGAACACATGAAATCAATGGGTTAATATTATTAAATTGTTAACTGAAAAGAAATCTGAAATATTATTCAAATGTGAGGGCATGAGTTTTAAAATTCTCTTCAATATATAAATTCAAATAAAATTTGACGTAAAAATACATATCAGAAAGGCATTTCGTAGAAGAAACCACATGATAAGGAAAACAGAAGATTATATTAAATGATGTCACAGTAACAGCAATCAAATATCTTTCCAGAGTTTGTTTATATGTGAGAGAAAAATACTACATCAAATAATGAAAACATATATATCTAATAATCTAGAAGCATACTTTTAGACAATATGACTATGATGGGAAGAATGGAGAGGGGCAATGTCAAAATGATAATGTTCTCAATTTGAAACATTCTAACATGTATTTATATAACTAAATAGCTTTAAAATGTATCAACAAAAATTGATAGGAGTATAGGGGAAAGCTGGCAAAAGTATCATCAGGATTGGAGATTGAAACACATCTCTTATAATTATTTATAGATCAAGCAGGCAAAATTTAACAAAAATATATGAGAGTTGGATGACTCAAATAAGTATGATCTAGTAAACATTTGTACAATTCTAGATCAACCATAGAGAATACACATTCTTCCCAACCACCCACAAAATATTTACAAAATGATCATGTCCTAGGTTTTATAATATTTCACCAATTTTAAAGAATAAGCATGTAATTGAGTTTATATGTTTTCAATTATATTGATAATCACTATATATTAAGTGAACCAGTCAATTTAATATTAAGGAATTATTGATATAGTTGGATCGTAATTACCATTAACTTTCCATTTGCCCTGTCCTATTTTTCCTCTCCTTTCTTGCCTTCTTTTGGATTGATCATTATTATTTTATTTTCCTACTTTATTGACATGACAGCTATGTAGTTTTTAAATTTTTTAGTGGTTACCTTAGAATTATAGCATTTACTCAAGATAATGTCCCTATCTTAATGTCTACTGATTATCAACCTTAATTACATTTACAAAGTTCCCTCACAGAAATACCTAGTTTTAACTAGGGAACAGGAATTTTGAAGGAATATCTTTAGAATTCTGCCTGCAATAATGTCTTCTAGTCCTTCGGGTCCTTATCAACCAGGTTTAGATATGATTCTTCAGGTGTCATTCTTTGAGGATGAGGTGGTATGGTGTTTTAACAGGTCTTTTAGGTGGTAAAAAGGTACAGTCCCCCCGAACCTGCCATAATGTATACAAACTTTGAATTTTTGTTGCTAGATGTTGCTAGAGTGGCAAACAAATTTCACCAAGTCTTTCCACAACCCAAGATGCCTAACCTGAATTAGGTCACGTGCAACCTGAAAACCCCTAAAGTTGTACAGGGAAATGAGAGTGATGTTGAAATGATGCATGAGGTTTATCTCTCCATAAAGAAATCGCTGGTATCCTGGGACCTCACCTCTTATGAAATGCTTTTCTAGGACCTTAAAGCTGCTATATGATTTATGGCTGGCTCCATCACCCTCATGTCCAAATGCGTAAGGATGGCAAGCACATAGAATACAGTCTGTTGACATAGATTTAAAGAGAAAGGTGAAGGAGCCTAGTCAAGTAGGCAGAACTGAAGACAGTACTCATGAAATGTACCTGGATGCTAAAGTTCCATCAGGCTGCTCCTTATAATTTCTGTTACTTGTCTGTGCCTAATAGTTTAGCTAACCTGTCTGGCATTCTAATGGTTGGAGAAATTTGATCAGCATTGAGCTGGCCTAATTCCTATACATTCAAGTTTCTGACATTTCTAATAGAATTGAAAAACTAATTTCCTATATGGATGCCCACCACATTTCTAGAATATATTGACCTTGAACAATACGGTTGATGGGCAGACAAAACCTATAGGCTCTCTGACACGACAAACACACTGAAAACAATGAAGAAAAGGAGTGAATAAAATGTGCATGAAGAAAAGAATATTGCCTTTTGTGGGGCCCAGCCAAGATGGTTCCTATGGCAGCTTGAGAACACCTTCAAGTAGCTCATGAGTGTGAAGTTAGCTACAAATTAGTTCTTGCTCCAGGCATCCTCTGTTTCCTAAAATTATTGACCCATACTATCACTGACAGATAGATTGCAATGGGTCCCTCTTTATGTTATATCCATAAAGCAGAAAGGGTGTTATCACTTTAGCTAATTCTAATTTGGTTTATGCAGAAAGCAAATTCTTCAGCAGCTAATTATCCATGATTCCACAATGCCTGTTCAGAAAACACATTTTTGCACCTGTTGTCTGTCTTTGGAGAAGGCATATGTATGCCTGAGGTTGGCAGGGCTAGACAAAGGATCTAGGCAGTTCATCTGGATTCAGGAAAGTGAACCTGCATGGCTAGGCCAATAAATTGGAGAGAGAGAGACTTGCAAATGCAGTGGCTGGAAAAAACAAAATTCCTCTCTTTAATTCCTCCTGGAGTTAACCTACTGCATGCAAATAGCTGTCATTCTAGCTGAAATGTATTGTAGACCAGCACTAGCTGGTTATAATGTTGGGTGTGAAATCTCTCTTCATCTGTGTCCACAGAGAACACGTCAGTAAATAAAGAAAACATAAAGACATGGAAACATCTCATGTTCACAGATTGGAAGATTTAATATTGTTAAGGTGACAGTACTACCAAAAACTATCTACAGGTTCAATACAGTCCCTATCCAAATCCCAAGTGGTTTTGTTGTTGTTTGTCTTTTTTTGTTTGTTTTTTGGGGTTTTGGTTTTTGTTTACTATTTTTGTTTTTTGCAAAAATAGGAAAATCCATCCTAAAATCCAATTGGGTATTTCAGGATTTCTTCAAAGAAGTTAAAATTTATACCAAATATGTTTGACTCCATTAAATGTTATGAAGAAGCTACTTCTACATTAGCTAAATATTCAGCTCCCATAAACGGAATCTTCTATCACCATTAACTTACAGACAGAAAAAATTAGAAAACTGATAGAAACATAAAAGACTGGGATCTGAAAAGCTTACCTTAGATTTTCATCACTTAAAGATAGGATTGGACATATTCTTACAGAAAGCATTTCTGAAATGAGAGACACCAGCAGTAAACTGAATGGAAAGGATGCCTTCGTCCTCACAGCCTCCTCCTGAGCATCCAGCAACACGTAAGAAGCCCGTGAGACTCTTGGCCCTTTCTTGAACTTATGAAAAAAAGAAAAGTTCTTGGATATTACGAACTTATGAGGCTCACCAAATATCCAGATATCCGGAAACCATAAGCAAATACCTTCATGTATGTGTCTAAGTAGTTATTCATGGCAGTCTTTACCAATTGCAATGAATATAGTCCTCCTGAGAGTAAATTCTACAAATGATAAATACTTCACTGAAATTAAGGAAGATAGATTGACAATCCATTATTTTCTTGTCTTTCTTAAATACTAACTCGTGTGCTTACTGAATGGCGGTTTCATTTTAAAACAAAATTGGATACATATAAGGAAGATCATTGCATGCTGTTACAGTTTTCACTTTAAAAAAGAAATGTATTCTAGATTTTCAGATATACGTTTAAATTAAAGCCATGGAATATTTTTATTAAATAGATTAAAATACACTTACTTTACTATAAGTTTTCTGTGGCATATCCATTAGCTGAATATTTAATAATAAATGATCATTGAATAATAGATTATAAAACCACAATCTGAGAGACTGAGACATAATTACCACACCAGGAATGTTTTCTAATGGAGTGTGAAGATTTATTTCTATTCTATTCTGGAAGAATTCAGATAAAAAAATTAAAAGTCCTCAAAAACATGAGATAGGTATATTTGAAGTATTATTGTACATATTTTATAAATACTTGTATAGTTGAGGTCCTTTGAGCAGTTCTCAATTATTCAATTCCCAGAGGTCAACTGCTTTGGTTACTAATACAACCTGAAAAAATGCAGAATTTCATAAATATCCCGGGTTTTTTTTAATTTCTTCTTCTTATTATTATTATTATTATACTTTAAGTTCTAGGGTACATGTGCACAACGTGCAGGTTTGATACATAGGTATACACGTGCCATGTAGGTTTGCTGCACCCATCAACTCGTCATTTACATTTGGTATTTCTCCTAATGCTATCCTTCCCCCAGCCCCCCAGCCCCCAACAGGCCCTGGTGTGTGATGTTCCCCACCCTGTATCCAAGTGTTCTCATTGTTCAATTCCCACCTATGAGTGAGAACATGCAGTGTTTGGTTTTCTGTCCTTGTGATAGTTTGCTGAGAATGATAGTTTCCAGTTTTATCCACGTCCCCACAAAGGACATGAACTCATCCTTTTTTGTGGCTACATAGTATTCCATGGTGTATATGTGCCACATTTTCTTAATCCAGTTTATCATTGATGGACAAATAAATATCCATTTTTTACAATGTTATATAACATCAATTTGTGGATGTATAACCATTATGTTAACATAGGTTTTTCTCTAGATAAATATGTAATATATTTGATTTTGCTTCTGCAAGATATGATTTCAAAAACTAACTTCCAAGTCCATACAGCTGTAAATCTGAGTCTGAAATATAACCACATGCTTTTATAGAAAGGTGTACATTATCTATATGTGAGTTATTGTTTATTTTTCCAATAAATAAGGAACAGTTTTGACATTCTTAAATATAAGAAACATCTTAATGGCATCCAAATTTCCAATGAAGAATGACAACATGACTTCTATTAAGTATGTTGGAAATGGTTTCTAAAGATGTATCACATCAGATCTGCTTTTTATCCTTTGAAATTTGTTTGTTTTAAATTTTTAACTGTCTTATTGAAGTGGCATCATTGTCTAGGGTAAATACCTGAGGTTCACCGTCTTGCACCAAGGAAATTGAGTATGCAGACACAAGAAGCAGGTTTAGGAGCGGAGGTTTAATAGGCAAAAGAAAGAGAAAAGAGAACAGCTCTCTCTCTTATGAGAGAGGGGAAAGCCGGAATGGGACTTCCGACCCGCTTCGGAATGCACAGGGCTTTATAAACAGGATTGAGTTGGTGTGTCTGATTTACATAGGGCCCAAAGATTGGTTGGACCAGGTGTGATGTTTACATAATGCACTGGGAAGCTAGCCACCCCACCCTAATCTTTTATTATGCAAATGGATTCTCTACTTGGCCAGTGCTATGTTGCCTGCTCCTTACTGTGCACGTGGCCGACAAGGAAAGGGGAAGATGGAGCCACCATTTTGAACATGCTTAGTCCCCAGGTAGCCACTTTCCTATTGGCACATCTGACAGCATTCACCTGTGCAAGCTTCTAGCTTTCCTTTTTATGTTTGCATTTCGATTTTACAGGCTGCTCTCTGTTAGAAAAGAAAATGATCTGGGGCTGCTATTTGTTAAAAGGAAAATCTTACTGAGGACTTCCTTACCGTTACTATTTGCCTAAATAATTTCTTCTTTTTCTTTTCTTTTTTTTTTTTTTTTTTTTTGCAACGGAGTCTCGCTCTGTCGCCCAGGCTGGAGTGCAGTGGCGCGATCTTGGCTCACTGCAACCTCCACCTCCCAGGTTCACGCCATTCTCCTGCCTCGGCCTCCCAAGTAGCTGGGACTACAGGCGCCCGCCACCATGCCCGGCTCATTTTTTGTATTTTTTAGTAGAGATGGGGTTTCACCGTGTTAGGCAGGATGGTCTCAATCGCCTGACCTCGTGATCCGCCTGCCTAATAATTTCTTCTTAACTCCTATATCACTATGACCTGAATGTGTCCTCCCCAAATTCACATGTTGGAGACTCAATACCCAGTGCAATAATCTTGGAGAGGGGGAGACATTTTGGAGCTGTTTAGGTCATGAGGGCAGCCCTCAAGAATGGGTTAATGCCGTTATAAAAGGGCTTGTAATAGAGACAGTTTGCTCCTTTTATCACTCCTTTCATCCCTTCTGCTAAATGAGGACACAGTATTTCTCCCACTCAGAAGCTGCAGCAACAAGGCATTATCTTGGAAGCAGAGAACAGCCCTCACCAGACACCCAGACCTTCCAGTCTTGATCTTGCACTTCCCAGCCTCGAGAACTGTGAAAAAAATTAATTTCTGTTCTTTATAAATTACCCAGTATCTGATATTTTGTTATAGAAGCACTAAGGGACTAAGAGAAATTGGTACCAGATAAGTGGGGTGTTGTATAACAAGTGCCTAAAACTGGGGGAGCAGCTTTGAGACTGGGTAATGGGTAGAGGTTAGAACAGTTTTGAAGTGAAAAATATACAAGCTAGAAAATTTGTAAATGGAGCATTAAAAACATTCTAGTGAGAGTTCGAAAGAGAAGAGAGGTAGGAAAAAATCTCGTTCTTCATAGATAGTACTTAAATTGTCATAAACAAATTGCTGGTAGAAATAAGGATAGTAAACACTATTCTGATGAGGTCTCAGATGGAAATGAGAAACAAGGTATTAGAAACTAGAGGAAAAGCCATCCTTGCTCTAAAGTGGCAAAGAATTTGACTGAATTTTGTCTGTAAGCTAGGACTTTGTGGAAGGCAAAACTGGAGAGTGATAAACTAGGATTTGTGCTGGAATAAATCACAAAGCAGCAAAGTATTGAAGGTGCTATGTGTCTTCTTCTGGTCTGTTGTAGTAAAATGCCAGAGGAGAAAAATGAGTTAAAGGTGAAATATATAATCAATAGGGAAGCAGGACATAAAGATTTGGAAAATTCTCAGCCTGGCCATATAAAGAAAAAAAGGCTTATTTGGGAGAAAATACCAAGGGTATGACCAAATGAAATGCTTGATAAGGAGAATAGCAAGGATAGAAGGAAGCAAGATGCTATCCATTGAGACAGTGGAAAATTCCTATACAAATTCGTAAATGACTCTAAAAGCATTTTGGAGATCTTTGAAGCTGCTTTTCTCATCATAGGCCCAGAGTGCCAGGGTTTTGAAGGCAGAATGGTTTTAAGGGAGAAGCCTAGGACACCCATGGGACCTCAGGGCTGGATACCCAGGGCCACCTCAAATCTCCACTCCCTGCATTCTGGTGCAGTGCTCCATGACCACCTCAGCTATGACACAAATGGGCCCAGGTGGAGCTTGAACCACTTGTCTGGAGGATGCACATAGTAAAATCTGGCAGCCTCCACATGGTGCTAATTCTGTAGGTGCACACAGTGTGTGAGCTGTGGGAGCATGGCTGTCTGCACCTGTATCTCAAAGGATGCCTCAGAGATCCTTGGTGCCCAGGCAGAGAACTGTCACAGAGCCAGGGGTGCTGAATAAAGTCCCCACTAGGGCAATGCCTAGCAGAGCCATAGAGTTAGGGCCACTGCAGAGGGTCTCTGCTAGGGCAATGTCTAATGGAGCAATGGATGAGGCCACTCTAGAGAGTCCCCACTAGGCAATGTCTAGTGTAGCTGTGGGGATTGGGTCACCCTCAGGCCTCCAGCACTGTAGTCACCAGTGTACAGCATCAGCCTGGGAAGCTGCAGGAATGCACCTTCAGTGTGTGAGAGCTGAAATATGGGCTGCACCCAGCAAAGTCAGAGAGATGGGACTTCCCAAGTCCTTGGAGGCCCAACCCCCCACACCAGTGTATCCACAAGGCAGGAAATGGAGTCAAAAAGATTATTCTCAAGCCTTAAGATTTTATTGTGTTTGTCCTATTGAGCTTTGGACTTACTTGGGACTTGCTACCACTTTCTTCTTGCCTATTTCTCTCTTTTGGAATGGGAATGTCTATCCTATGCCTGTCCCACTATTGTATTTTGAAGGCAGGTAACTTGTTTAATTTAAACAGGCTCACAGCTGCAAGTAAATTTTCCTCAGGCTGAATCATGCCTTGAGTCTTACTCATTTCTGATTAAAATGAGACTCTGAACCTTAGACTTTTGAGTTGATATCTTAATGAGTTAAAACTTTTGGGCCAGCACGGTGGCTCATGCCTGTAATCCCAGCACTTTGGGAGGCTGAGGCAGGCAGAATGCCTGAGATCAAGAATTCGAGACCAGCCTGGAAAATATGGTGAAACCCCGTCTCTACTAAAAATACAAAAATTAGCTGGGTATGGTGGTGCACGCCTCTAGTCCCAGCTACTAGAGAGGCTGAGACAGGAGAATCGCTTGAACCTGGGAAGCAGAGGTTGCAGTGAGCCAAGATCATGCCGCTGCACTCCAGCCTGGGTGACAAAGTGAGACACCATCTCAAAAAAAAAAAAAAAAACTGTTGGAGCTATTGAGATGGAATAAATGTATTTTGCATGTGATAAGAACATTCATTTTGGGGGCTAAGAGCAGAATGCTACAGTCTGAATGTGTTCCCCAAAATTCATGTGTTGAAAACTTAATCCCCAATGCAACAGTGTTTAAAGGTGGGGGCTTTTGAGAGGCATTTAGGTCATGAAGGTGCCCCTCTCATGAATGGATTAATACCATAATAAAAGGGCTTGACAGAGGGAATGTGGTCCCTTTTTGCCCCTTCTGTCCCTTCCACCATGTAAGGACACAGCATTCCTCCCCTCCAGAAGATGGAGCAACAAGGTGCCATCTGAGAAAACAGAGACTGGGCCCTCACCAACAAGCACCTTGATCTTGTTGGATTTCTCAGCTTCCAGAACTATGAGAAATAAATTTCTCTTGTTAATATGTACAAATTTCCCAGTTAGTGGCATTTCGTTACAGCAGCATAAGTGGATTGCAGCATAAGTGGATTACAACAAATGGATTTTACTAAAGTGTATTATCTTTAAAATCACATTGTCTCTTCTATGTCAAAAGCATTATTTTCTAATTTTAAAAGTAATATTTTCATATAAATATTGTGCAGTAAAGTTGAAGTAGTTCTTTTTTTTTTTTTTTTTTTTTTAAGACAGAGTATCACTCTGTTGCTCAGGCTGGAGTGCAGTGGCGCGATCTCAGCTCACTGCAACCTCCACCTCCCGGTTTCAAGCGATTCTCCTGACTCAGCACCCTGAGTAGCTGGGATTACAGGCACCCACCACCACACCTGGCTAATTTTTGTATTTTTAGTAGAGACAGGGTTTCACCATGTTGGACAGGGTGGTCTCAAACTCCTGGCCTCAGGTGATCCACCTGCCTCAGCCTCCTAAAGTGCTAGGATTACAAGCGTGAGCCACCATGCCTGGCTGAAGTAGTTCTTTATCACTGTGTAACACATTACCCTAATACTAGTGTCTAAAAACATTAACAGTTATTATCTTAATCTTTGTAAATCAGGAAGTAATATACCACTTAACTGGATCCTCCAATTTACAGTCTCTCACAAGCAGGAATCAAGGTGCCAGCTAGGACTGCAGTTATCTCAAAGTTTGACTGGGAAAGTATCCACTATCCACTTATTCTGGAATTGCTGGAAAGATTCTGTTTTGCAAGAGCCTTCAGTTTCTTCCTGGCTGTTAAAAGAAGGCCAACCTCAGATTCTTCCCATATGGACTACTCTATGGGATAAATCACAGCTCATGGTTCCAAAAGAGACCCCCTCCCTCCGCTTTAGGAAAGAAAATAGTTGGGAGGGCTTTGTCTTGCATCTTGGATACCAGTTCATCCACAGCAGGATAGAACACTGGTCAAAGTCGTGAGGCCCCCTTTCCAGGTCATGGCTCCTGATGGCATTTCTAGAGACACTGTGGACCCTAAGGGAATCCGCCACCTTAAGGGAAGGATCCAGTTCTGGCAGGATTCATCACCTTCTAACTGAAGAGCCTTTGGACCCTGAATAATCAGCAGTGATACCAGGTACTACATTGAAGGCCTTGGGTGAACCTCTGAGACCTCCTGGCTTCAGTTGAAACTCAGCACATTGCCAGCTGTGGTGACTATAGGATGAGATTTTGTCTGCTTGAGAAATGTGGAGGGAAAAGTAAAAAGGACTTTGTCATGCACCTTAGGTACCAGCTCAACCACAGCAGGTAAAGCGTCAGGTGGGCTCCTGGAGTCCCCAGTTCCAGGACTTGCATCTTGGATAGCATTTTTGGATCTGCCCTGAGGCAGTCAGGGGGCATTGCCCTGAAGGATAAATCCCAGGCCAGGTAGCATTCACCACAAGCTGACGGGAGAGCCCTTGGACCTTAAGGAAACACTGGCGGTATTCCTGCAGTACTCCCTGTGTGCCTGTGGTGGGGTAGCCATGGAATGAGGCTCCTCTGCCCTTGCAAAGGGGAGAGAAGAGTTAGAAGGACTGTGTCTTGTGATTTGAGTCTCAGTTCAGTCACAGTGCAATAGTACACCAGGTGGACTTGTAACATTTTTGACTTTAGTCCCTGGCTCCAAAACAGCACCTCTGAACTTTCCTGGAGTCTAGGGAAACTCACCACCCTGAAGGGAAGGACAAAGATCTGGCTGGCTATGCCACTTGCTGATTGTAGAGTCCCAGGGCATTGAGCAAACATAGGTGGAAGCCAGAGAGTAGTTACTGAAAATATTGGATGAGGCTCAGTGCTGTGCTGGCTTCAGGTCTGACACAGCACAGTTGTACTGGTGATGTCCAGAGGAATGCTCCACCCCTAGCTCCAGCTGGCTCAGAACAGAAAGAGATACTTTAATTGGAAGAAATTAAAGGAAGCAACAAAAGTCTCTACCTTTTAATCCAGAGAATTCTCTCAATCTTGTCCAAAACCATCAAGGTGGTACCTCTATGAGTCTGCAAGAGCTACAGTATTAATGGGTCCCTGAAGCAGGTACAGCTTAGATTACAATACCGAAGTTCTTTAGAATATCTGGAAAACCTTCCCAAGAATGAATGGTACAAACAAGCCCAGACTGAGTAGCCTACAATAAATACCTAACTTTTCAATGCCCAAACACAGATGAACATATGCAAGTATCAAGATCATCCAGGAAAACAGGACCTCCCCAAATAAACTAAATAAGGCACCAGGAACAAATCCTGGAGAAACAGAGATATGTGACCTTTTATACAGAGAACTCAAAATAACTATTTGAAGAAACTCAAAGAAATTCAAGAGAACACAGAGAAGGAATTCAGAGTTCCATCAGACAAATTTATTACAACAAAGAGATTCAAATAATTAAAAAGAATCAAGCAGAAATTCTGGAGCTGAAAAATGCAATTGACCTACTGAAGAATGCATCTTTTAGTCTTTTAGTAAAAACTGATCGAGCAAAAAAAAGAATCAGTGAGTTTGAAGAGAAGCTATTTGAAAATACACAGTCAGAGGAGGCAAAAGAAAAAGAATTAAAAAAAGAAGCAGGCCTACAGGATCCATTATAGAAAATAGCCTCAAAAAAGCAAATCTAAGAGTTATTGGCCTTAAAGAGGAGGTAGAGAAAGAGATAGGGGTAGAAAGTTTATTCAAAGGGATAATCGAGAACTTCCCAAACCTAGAGAACAATGTCAATATCCAAGTATGAGAAGATTAGACAACAACGAGCAGATTTAAGTCAAAGGAAACTGCCTCAAGGCATTTTATAATCCCTTAAACTCCCAAGGGTCTAAGATAAAGCAAGGATTCTAAAAGCAGCAAGACGAAAGAAACAAATGACATAATGGAGCTCCAATATGCCTGATAGCAGACTTCTCAGTAGAAACCTTCCATGACAGGAGAGAGTGGCATGACGTATTTAAAGTACCGAAGGAAAAAAGCTTTTACCCTAGAATAGTATATCCAGTGAAAATATCCTTCAAATGTAAAAAAGAAATAAAGACTTTTCCAGGCAAACAGAATCTGAGAAATTTTAATAACACCAGAACTGTCCTAATACAAATGATAAAGGGCATAGTACTTCAATCAGAAAGAAAAGGATGTTAATGAACAATAAGAAATCATGTGAAGATACAAAACTCACTGGCAATAGTAAGTGGTCAAAAAAAAGAGAGGATATTAGAACACTGAAACTGTGGTGTGTAAACTTATCTTAAATAGACTAAAAAACCAATTGGAAATGAGAACTATAACTTTTCAAGATATAGACAGTATGATAAGATATAAATAGAAACAACAAAAAGTTAAAAAACAGGGGAACAAAGTTAAGGTGTAGATCCTTTGCTTGTTTGTTTTCTTGTTTATGCAAACAGTGTTAAGTCATTATCAGATTAAAATAATGGGTTACAAGATAGCATTGGCAAGCCTTGTGGTCACCTCAAGGCAAAAAACATATGAGTACAGAACAAAATAAAAAGCAAAAGACTAAATCATGTCACCAGAAAGAATCACCTTCACTGAAAGGAAAACAGGAAGGAAGGAAAGAAGGAAGAGAAGACCACAAAACAGCCAGAAAACAACAAAATGGCAGGAGTAGGTCCTTACTTATCAATAACAACATTAAATGTAAATGAACTAAACTCTCTAATCAAAAGACATAGAGTAACTGAGTGGATTAAAAACCATGACTGAAAGATCTATTGCCTACAAGATATACATTTCACCTATAAAGACACACCTAGACCAAAAATAAAGGTATGGAAAAGATATTCCATGCCAATGGAAACCAAAAAAGAGCAGAAGTCACTACACTGGTATTCAGCAAAATAGACTTTAAGACAAAATGTGTAAGAAAAGACCAAGAAGGTCACTGTATAATGATAACGGGTCCAATTCTTCAAGAGGATACAACAATTTTAAATATATATGCACCCAAAGCTGGAGCACCAAGATATATAGAGCAAATTTTATTAGAGCTAAAGAGAGAGATAGGCCCCAATACAATAATAGCTGGAGACTTCAACACCTCAATTTCAGCAATGGACAGATCTTCCAAACAGAAAATCAACAACAACAACAAAATAAGACTAAATCTGCATTATAGACCAAATGGATCTAATAGATATTTACAGATCATTCAAACCAAGAGCTGCAGAATACACATTCTTTTCCTCAGCACATGGATTATTCTCAAGGAAAGACCATATGTTAGCCCACAAAACATTTTAAAAAATTGAAATAATATCAAGTATCTTCTCTGACCTCAATGGAATAAAACTAGAAACTAATAACGAGAGGAATTTTGGAAACTATAAAAATACATGAAAATTAGACAATATGCTCCCCAGTCACCAGTGGGTCTATGAAGAGATTAAAAAGGAAATTGAAAAATTTCTTAAAACAAATAATTGAAATACAGCATGCCAAAACCTATCAGATACAGCAAAAGCAGTACTAAGAGGGAAGTTTATAGCTACAAGTGCATACATCAAAAAGGAAGAAAATTTTCAAATAAACAATCTAGCAATGCATCTTAAAGCACTAGAAAAGGAAGAGCAAACCAAATCCAAAATTAGCAGAAGAAAATAAACATAAAAATCAGAGCAAAAATAAATGAAATGAAAAAAAGACAATACAAAAGATCAAAGAAACAAAAAGTTGGTTTTTTGAAAAGTTAAACAAAATTGACAAACCTTTAGCTAGACAATTTTAAAAAATGGGAGATCTAAGTACATAAAATCAGAGATTAAAAAAAGATATTATAACTGATAGCTCAGAAATTCTAAGGATCCTTAGTGCCCACTATGAGTAACTATATGCCAATAAATCAGAAAATCTAGAAAAAAATGGACAAATTCCTAGAAAGATGCAACCTACTATGACTGAACCATGAAGAAATTCAGACTCTGAACAGATCAAACAAATAATGGGATTAATGCCATAGTAAAATGTCTCCCAGTAAAGAAAAGCCCAGAACCCAATAGCTTTACTGCTGAACTATTCCAAACATGTAAAAAAAATTAATAACAATCCTACTCAAACTATTCAGAAAAATGGAAGACAAGGGAAGACTTCCAAATGCATTCTACAAGGCCAGTATTATCCTGATACCAAAACCAGACAGAGACACACTAAAAAAAAAAATACAAGAAAATACCTCTGATGAATATTGATAGGAAAATCCTTGACAAAATACTAGCAAATCAAATTCAACAATACATTTAAAATATCATTTATTATAACTAAGATTTATCCCTGGGATGCAAGGATGGTTCAATATATGCAAGTCAATCAATGTGATACATCATATCAACAGAATGATGGATAAAAATCATATATTTCAATTGATACTGAAAAAGCTTTTGATAAAATTCAACATCACCTCATGATAGAAAACATTAAAACATTGAGTATAGAAGGAACATAACTCAACATAATAAAAGCCGTAGACAACAGACCCGCAGCTAGTGGGAAACTGAATGGAAAAAACTGAAAGCCTTTTCTCTAAGATCTGGAACATGACAAAGATGCCGCTGTCACCACTGTTATTCAACATAGTACTGAGAGTCCTAGCTAGAGCAATCAGACATGAAAAAGAAATAGTGGGCATCCAAATTGGAAAGGAGGAAATCAAATTATCCTTGCTTGCATATGATGTGATCTTACATTTGGAAAAACCTAGACTCCACAAAAAAACTATTAGAACTGATAAATTAAGTAAACTTGCAGTATACAAAATCAACATACAAAAATCAGTAGCATTTTTATATGCCAACACTGAACAATGTGAAAAAGAAATAGAAAGAGTAATACCATTTACAATAGCCACAAATAAAATTAAATGCCTAGGAATTAACCAAAGAAGTGAAAGATCTCTATAATTAAAACTATAAACACTGATGAAGGAAAATGAAGAGTACACCAAAAAATTGAAAGATATTCCATGTTCATGAACTGGGAAAATAAATATTGTTAACATGCCCATATTACCCAAAGCAATCTACAGATTCAGTACAATTCCTATCAATACACCTATGACATTCTTCACAGAAATTGAAAAAAATCCTAAAATGTATATGGAACCACAAAGGACCCAGAATAGCCAAAGCTATTCTAAGTAAAAAGAACAAAACTGGAAGAATCACATTACCTGACTTCAGTCTATGCTACAGAGCTATAGTAACCAAAACAGCATGATACTGGAGTAAAAACAGACACATAAACACATAGACCAATGGAACAGAATAGAGAACCCAGAATCAAATCCACACACCTACAATGAACTCATTTTTGACAAAGGTGCCAAGAACATACACTGAGGAAAAGACAGTCTCCAATAAATGGTGCTGAAAAACTGGATATTCATAGGCAAGATAATGAAACTAGACCCCTATCCCTCACTATATACAAAAACCAAATCAAAATGGATTAAAGACTTAAATCTAAGACCTCAAACTATGAAACTGCTACAAGAAAACATTGGGGAAACTCTTCAGGACATTGGTCTGGGCAAAGATTTTTGAGTAATACCCCACAAGTACAGGCAACCAAAGCAAACATGGACAAATGGGATCACATTAAGTTAAAAAGCTTCTGCACAGCAAAGAATATAATCAGTATAGAGTGAAGAGACAACCTCAAGGATGGGAGAAAATATTTGTAAACTACCCCTCTGACAAAGGATATCCAGAATATATAAGAAGCTCAGCACATGACAAACATCACATGTTCTCACTTATTTGTGAAATCTAAAAATCAGAACAATTGAGCTCATGGAGACAGAGAGTAGAAGGATGGTTAACAGAGGCTAGGAAGGGAATAGAGTGTTGTGGGGAAGTTGAGGATCATTAATTCGTAAAAAACAAAAATAGAACAAATGAATAAGACCTACTATATGATAGCACAACAAAGTGACTACAGTAAATAATAATTTAATTTTACATTTTTAAATGACTAAAAGAGTATAATTGGACTGTCTGTAACACAAAGGATAAATACTGGAGGAGATGGATACCCCATTTTACATTATGTCATTCCATGCCTGTATCAAAACATTTTATGTATCCCATAAATATACAAACCTACTATGTATCCACAAAAGTAAAATATTTTTTTAAACTTGATAAAAATTAAAATGGAAACACTACATACCAAATCTATTGGGGTGGAGGAAAATCTGTTATAAAAGGAACATTTATCCAATCAATGCCTACCTCAAGAAGAAGAAAAATATGAAATAAAATTTAACAATATTTCTCAAGGACATAGAAAAATCAAGAATAAACTAAGCTGGAAGTTAGGAAAAGAAAAGAAATAATAAAGATCATAGCAGAAATAACTGAAATAGAGAATAGGAAAATAATACAAACCATAAACAAAACTGAGTTAATATTTCAAAAGGATAAACAAAATTAATAAACCTTTACCTACACTAGGAGAAAAAGAAATTTCAAATGAATAAAATCATAAATAAAAGAGGGTACATTACAACTGATACCACAGAAATAAAAAAGATCATAAGGGACTACTATGAACAATTATATGTCAATAAATTGGATTACCTAGAAAAAATGGATAAATTCCTAGACACATACACCTACTCAAGACTAAATCAAAAAGAAATAGAAAATCTGAGCAGACTAATAATGAGTACAGAGATTGACAGTAGCAAAAAGTTTCTCATTAAAGGATAGCCCTGGACCTGATGGCTTCACTACTGAATTCTACCAAACTTTTAAAGAAAAATTCATACCACTGCTTCTCAAACTCTTCCAAAAAAAAATCAAAGAGAAGAGAATACTTCCAAACTCTTTCAATGAGGCCAGCATTACTCTGATACAAAAGCCAGACAAGTATATTATAACAAATAAAAATTATAGGCCAATATTTTTATGAACATGGATGCAAAATTTTTCAACAACAGGGGATGTCAAAAATCATAGAAAATGGAATTAAATATTAATAATAAAAATAAAAAATATAAACTTTCTCAATAAAAATTCCTTCAAGCTCAAGACATTTTTGTTAAGTGATGATACAAATCATTTAGTCTATCCCTAAAGAACTGAGAATCGTGGGAATTTAACCATAGTTATACACTCTTTTTAGCATTACTAACTGAACAAAAATTTACATTCTAAAGAGTTTTTAAAATTAGGGGAAAAAGAAGTCAGAAAAATCCAAGCCAAAACTGTAAGGTGGATGTCCAGTTATTTCTCTTCTCACAGAATTGCCCTTATTTGATTAGAAGAATGAACAGAAGCATTGTCACGGTGAAGAAGGACCCTCTAGTGAAGCTTTCCTGGGCATTTTTCTGCTTAGTCTTAGGCTAAGTTTCTCAAAACACACTTATAATAAGTAAATGTTATTCTCTGGCCTTCCAGAAAGTCAGCAAACAAAATGCCTTGAAGATCCCCCCAAAACATTGTTGTTGAAATATTTGCTGCTGATGGGAACATTTCTACCTCTCAGTAGCCATTGCTTTTATTGTTCTTTATCTTCAGTATTGCACTGGTAATCCATGTTTTATCTTCTATTAAAATACTTGGAATAAATATTTCAGGATCTTGATCATACTTGTTTAAAATTCCCATTGAAAGCTCTGCTCTTGTCTGCAGCTGATCTAGGAATAATTGTTTTGGCACCCACTGAGTGGAAAGTTTGCTGAACTTTAATTTTTCAGTCAGAATTGTGCAAACTGAACTAATTGAGATGGCTATTATTTCTGCTGTTAAGTATCAGACATCTTCAATAAGGACACAAACAAGATGCATTTTTTTTCTTCCAAATTGATGTGGATAGTCTGCTGCTACATGCTTTATCTTCAACATCATCTTGTTCTTTCTTAAAATGAGTTATCCATTTGTAAATTGATCATTTCTTTTGGGAATTGCACCCCAAAATTTTTCATAAGTATCAATTATTCATCATTCTTCCATCCAAGTTTTACTATAAGCTGATGTTTGTTCTTGCTTCAATTATAGCAGATTTCATGCTACTTTGATAGGTGCTTTAAAAAAAAACTAATGTCTTCTCCTTAGTGCCTCAAATTTGCTCCTGTTGAAATATGTTATAATAAGTTAGTATGAGTTTAATTTGATGCATAAAAATTTGAAATCCATGCAGAGTTATTTCATAATACACATTTTCCATAAACTTCTTGAAGTTCCCTCATACTAGCAAACTGAATTCAAAAACATCCTAAAAGAATCACCCACTATAATCAAATGAGATTTATCTGAGTGGTGCAAGATGGTTTAACGTATGTAAATCAATAAATGTGATACATCACATCAACAAAATGACAGACAAAAAACCATATGATCATATCATCAGATACAGAGAAAGCATGTGAAAGAATTCAACGTCCTTTTATTATTAAAAAACTTTCACCAAATTAGGTATACAAGGAATACACCTCAACATAATAAAGACCATGTATGAGAAGATCACAGCTAACATTATACTCAATGGTGAAAACTGAAAGCCTTTATCTAAGTTCTGGAAAAAGTGGACAAGAATGGCCATTTGCACCACTTCTATATAATATAGCATTAGAAGTCCACACGAGGGCAATTAGGCAAGAGAAAGAAATAAAAGGTAAGGCATCCAAATAGGAAAAATGAAGTAAAATTGTCAGTTTGCTGATGGCTCGATCTTTTACATAGAAAACCCTAAATAATCCACCAGAAAACTGTTAGAACTAATAAATGAATACAGTCAAGTTGCAGGATACAAAATCAACATTCAAAAATGAGTAGCATTTCTATATACTAGCAACTTTTCAGAAATAAAATCAAGAGAACAATTCCATTTACTATAGCTACAAAAAATAAAATATCTAGAAATAAATTTAACCAAGGAGATGAAAAACCTATACACTAAAAACTATAAAATGTTGATGTAAGAAATTGAAGAAGACACAAATAAATGAAAAGAATCCTGTATTTATGAACTGGAAGAATTAATATTGTTAGAATGTCCATACTACCAAAATCAATCTACAAATTCAATGCAATCTCCATACAAATTCCAATGTCATTTTTCACAGTAAAAAAAGAACAATCTGAAAATTCATATGGAATTAGAAAGTAAAAAGCCAAATAGCCAAGGTAGTAATGAGCAAAATGAACAAAGATGGAAGCATCACACTATTTGACTTCAAATGATATTACAAAGTTACAGTAATTAAAATAGCATGGTACTGGCAAAAAAAAAATAGACACATCAATTTTTATAGAGAGAATAGCCCAGAACTGAACCCATATATGTATGGTCCATTGCTTTTCAACAAAATTGTCAACAATACACAATGGGGAAAAATAATCTCTTCAGTAAATAGTACTGGGAAAACTGGATATCCACATGCAGAACAATATTAGACACTTATACCATATGCAAAAATCAACTCAAAATATATTAAAGAGTTAAACATAAGATGAGAAACCATAAAACTAATAAAAGAAAGCATAGGGAAAAATTCCAAAACATTGGTCTGGGCAATGATTTTTGGATTTCACCCCAAATGTACAGGCAACGACAGCAAAAATAAATTGAGGTTACATCAAACTAAAAAGCTTCTTCACAGCAAGGAGAACATATAACCGTGTGAAGAGATAATCTAAGGATTTAGAGAAAATATTTGTAAGCCATGCATCTGAAAAATAGTTAATATTCAAAATACAGAAGGAATTCAAAGAACTTACAAGGAAACAAACAAAAACTGGTTTTAAAATGGGCAAGGGATCTGAAGAGACATTCTCAAAAGAAGACATACAAATAGCCAAAAAATATAGTTTAAAATGCTCAACATCGTTAATAATTAGGAAAATGCAAATTAAAACCACAATGAGATATCATCTCACTCCTGTCAGAATGGTTATTATCAAAAAGACAAAAATTAACAAGTATTGGCAAAGATGTGGAGAAAAGGGAACACTTGTCTGGTGAAAATGTAAACGTGTACAGACATGAAAAACTGCATGGAGCTACTTCAATATAGTAAAAATCAAATTACTGTATGATCTAGCAATCCCACTTCTGGGTATTTATCCAAAAGATTTGAAATCAGCTTGTTGACCAGATGTCTGCACTCCCGTGTTCACTGCAGCACTGTTCACAACAGCCAAGTTACAGAGTCAACCTAAGTGTTTATTAACAAATAAATGAATAAAATGTGCTATAATGAATGCTATTCAGCCCTAAAAAAGAAGAATTCTGTTATTTGTGACAATATGGGTGGAATTGGAGGGCATTATGCTAAGGGAAATAATGAAGGCACAGAGAGACAAATATTGCCTGTTCTCACTTATATGTGGAATCTAAAACAATCAAACTCATAGAAGCAGGGAGTAGAATGGTGGTTACAGAGGCTGGGGGTGGGGAAATAGGGATATGATGTCATAGGATATAAAATCTCAGTTACACAAAAGGAATAAGGATTTTTTTGAGACCTATTGCACAGTATGGGAAATGTAACAATAATGTGTTGTACATTTAAAAAATTGCTAAGAGAATAAAGTTCAAACATTCTAACTACAAAAAAATGATAAATATTTAAGGTGATGGACATGTTTTTTGTTTGTTTGTTTGTTTGTTAGTTTGTTTTTGAGACGGAGTCATGCACTGTCGCCCAGGCTGTAGTGCAGTGGTGCGATCTGGGCTCACTGCAAGCTCCGCCTCCCGGGTTCACGCCATTCTCCAGCCTCAGCCTGGTGATGGACATGTTAATTGGATTTATTTATTGCACATTGTATTCATGAGTCATAACATTACTCTGTATCCCATAAATATACACAATTATAAGTTGTCAGTTTACAGTTAAATACATAAATTCATAATCAGTGAACTTGAGACAGGTCAACAAAACTTATTCAAACTAAGCAGCAAAGGGAAAAAATAATGAAAAATAAAAAATAAAACAGAGCAAGACTTCAGAGACACATGAAACAATATTAAATGAGCAAGAAGTTGTATAATTTTAGTCACTTAAGGAGAATGAGGCAAAAGAAAGATTCTTAATGTCTGAGAATTTTCCATAATTGTGGAGAGACATTAAGCAACAGATCAAAGAAGTTAGGTAAACACAAAGAAGGATAAATTCAAAGAAAACCACATGTAAGCATATCATGATCAAATTTTCAGAAGCCACAGCAAAGGGAAACATCTTAAAAGCAACTGAAGAGGTGTGATGGAAGGTATATTACAATCCAACATACAAAAACATGAATAATAACTCATTCTAAGCAGAAATAATGAAACCAAGAAGAAATAAATATAAAGTGCCAAAGGAAAAAAATGCCAATCTAGAATTCTATGCACAATGGGGAGTGACAGGTGAGGGCACTGTAGTTGAGTGCTCACCTCTAGGAGGAAACATTTGAGTGGGACGTGAATTATGAGAGGAAGACAGGCATGACAGGAACTGGTGAAGAACATTCCACAGTGAAGAAACAGCAAGTGCAAAAGGCCTCAGATGGGCATAAAACTGGCTTGTTAAGGAGGCCAGTGTGGCTGGTTTTTATGGAACAGAAAGAAGACTAGGAGACAAGCAGGAGACAGACAGGCTGAGCCTTAGAGGCCATGGGAAGGCACAAGAGGAAGTAAGAAAGCAAAATAAAAATGATGTGAAATACTATCAATGAAAGGAATGTTGTCATTTGAGTGTCAGGTAGAGGATTTTCCTGAAAACGTGCAGATGTGGCCTTCCTGTCCTACATTTTCCCCTTCTAGAGGCACTTGTCTTAATCCATAAGGCCACAGGCAATAATAGGAAAAACATGGGTTTGAGTAAGTTGTTCTTTTTATAAACCTCTTATCTATCTTTAAAATAAAAGTGGTGCAAGATTGGATTACAAATCATAATAACTGTATCTTACCAAGAAGAAAGTAAATAAAATTTTTTCTAACAGAATAAAAGTGTGCAGAATTTGCCACCATCCAAAATACACTGCACAGAATACCAAAGAAAGTTATTCAGGGTGAGGAAAGTGATTCCAGATGGAAGCACAAAGCTACAAGAAGAAATCTACAACACCAGAAAGAATAAACATGGAGTAAATGTAAAAGACTATTTAAGCTTTTTCAAAGCACTACTGACTGTTTCAAGTAAAAATAATAGCAATATGTCAGAATTTATAACACACATACAATTAAATGTAATAATACAAAGGGTAGAAGGAAGTATTAGGAATCATACTGATACAAAATTCTTTTGTTGTTTGTTAAGTAGGATAATATTAATTCAAGGTAGACTTTGATACATTAAGAATCCATACTGTAATCTCTAGAGTAAACACCAAATATTATTAATAATGAGCTACAAAGCCCATAGAACAGAAAAAAATCAGATTAGCGCTCAATTAACCTGAAATAAGTACAGAAGGAAAAAGCAAAAGAACAAAAAAGATGAGAGAAATAGAAAAATAGAAACTGATAGACTTAAAATCAATAATATCAGAAATTAATTTAAATATAAATGCTAGGAATGATGTCAGCAAGATGGTTGGTGAAGTAAGAAGTCTTGAGCTCCACTACCCACTAGCCCCACAACAAAATTTAACCAGCAACATCCACAGATTGGAAAACCCCAACACCTGAAAACAAGCTGGAGACACCTGCATGATATGTAAAACTGAACAAAGTCTGAATTAGAAGGGTAAGAGGAACAGTCTCACTCTGACTATGCTCCCACCTCGCCCCCCAAATTGGCATAGCACCAGACAGAGAGGGTTTCCCTAACTGTCTCTGTTTCTACAGGAGAAAAATAGAATAGGAGGCAGACATCCAGCTTCTCTAGCATACCAAGACACTTCTCAAAACACCTACTTGGAACTTGCTTCAGAGAGAACACTAAAGGAAATGACATGACTTGAATGCATTGGAGTCAGTTAGAAAAAAAGAAAGCAACCAGCACATGGATCCTGGTGGTACCTCTGCATTCTTGCCAACTGCGGTGCTCCATTAGATATCAGCCAGTCCCATAGCACATGTGCCAAACTGAGTTAGTCACCTTTAGAGGCATGGAAGGAAGCACAGTCTAGCTTCAGCTCCTAGACTGGTTGTTTCCCTGCCCAGCCTCAGCACCCATCCCAATAGCCCCACGAAGGCAGAGAGACTGCCACTGCCATGGATCTCTGAAGCAAAAAGACTACACTGGCTTGGCCCAGGAAGGCAGGCAGTAGCTCCACACAGCCAAAAAGCCAGAGCAATTATCCCACCCAATCCAACAGACTCACACTTTTGCAGATCTCAGAAAAATAAAGAGATTACACCACTTTGACCTACGAAGGTAAGCAGTGGCTCCACACAGCCAAACAGCTTGCCCAATAACCACACCAAGGCAGGAAGACTCCCACCTCCAGTGACCTCAGGCAAGCAAAAGAGCTACACTGGCTTTAACCAGGAAGGCAAGCAGTGGCTTCACACAACCAAAAAGCCTACCCAAAGACCCTGCCTCGGCAGGGATATTTCCACCTCCGTGGTTCTCAGAGAAGCATAGAGGCTATAACAGCTTGACACAGGAAGGCATGCAGTGGTTCCACAAAGCCAAAAAGTCCTCCCAAAGACATCACCCATGCAGGGAGACTCCCACCTGTATGTATGCATTTGGAGAAATGTAGGAGCTAGTCCTGCTTGAGGTCAAACAGCCATTCAACTCAGCTAAAGGTTCATCCCACAGCTCCAGCCAAAGAGGGAAGCATATCCCCAATCACACATTGTTAGGGACCATAGCCTCAGATCCTTCCTCTCCAGAGCAGCAACACCACCTAACCTCAGAACACACCTGCAGCCCTGTTCAAATACAGATAGAAAATAGCAAAATTGCCCAGCCAGGGAAGACATCTTGTGACCAGCCTGATCAGAGGCCATCAGAGTACTTGGCCAGCAGCTCTGCCTAATAGCAGAGCGCAGCCAGTGGTCTCACCAGTCACTGGAGCTCAGATAGTAGCCACCTCTGATATTGGAGCAACAGCAGCAGCCCAGGCAACTTGAAAACCCACAACAAGTCTTACCTCTCTGGTGTCACCACCAGCTAGCCCTTTCAGAATCACAGACTAGTTAATTAGTGGAGCTCTATACCTGGCAAAGAACACACGTAAGGCCAGAAGATATGAATCTCTCCTCAAAGGTACAGACAACAATGTAAGGATAAGAGAAGTACAAAAAAATCATGGAATCATAACACCTTTAAAAGAAACTAATAAAGCTCCAGTGGCAAACCCCAAAGATATGGACAGCTATTAAATGAATGCCAATTCATAGTAACACTCATAAAGAAGTTCAGTGAACTACAGGAATATATAGAGAGAAAAATTAAATGAAATTTGGAAAACAGTAACATGGAAAACGCAAGACTGACAAATAAATAAAAACCAAAAAAAAGATAGAAATCCTAGAGATAGAGAATAGAAGCACTGAGCTGAAAAATTTAAAACAAATCTTTAATAGCAGAATTGATCAAGTAGAAGAAAGAATCAGTGAGATGGAAGGCAGAGCTTTTGAAATCATCCATTCAAATGAGCAAAAAGAATAAAGAAAGTATATGGACATATGGGACCAAGCTTTTGCACAATAGGAGTTGCAGAAAGAGAATAAAGAGAAAAGGGGCCAGAATGCATATATAAAGAAAAATGGCTGAAAACTTCCCTAATCTAGAGAAGATACCAGTACCCAGACGCAAGAAGCACAGACATCTCAATCAAATTCAAACCAAAGAGGAATTCATCAAGACATATAATAATTAAGCTATCAAAAATCAAAGATGAAGAAAAATTCTAGAACATCAAGAGATAAAAACCAGATTACATACAAAGAAGTTCCAATACAACTATCAGCAGATTTCTCAGCAGAAACAAGCCAGGAGAGAATTGAATAATATATTCAAAGTGCTGAAGAAAAAACCAAAATGTCAACTAATGCTTTATACTGCAAAGCTTTTCTTCAGAAATGAAGGTGAAAGATTTTCCCAGACAAAAAGAAGCTGAGGGTATGTATCACCACTAGATATGCCATACAGGAAACACATAGGGAGTTCTTCAAGTCAAAAGAAAAGGACACTAATAGTAACACAAAAACATATGAAAGTATAAAACTCACTGGTAAAATAAGTACACAGTCAAGTTCAGAATACTCTAATACTATAATGATGGATTGTAAATCACACTTATACATTTAGTATAGAAGTTAAAAGTCAAAACTATCAAAAATAATTATAATAATTTGTTAAGGGACATGCAATATAAAAAGATGTAAATTGTGACATCAGAAATTCAGAATGTAATGTAAGGGGGGTAGGGTTAAAATATACAGTCTTCATTTTATTTAGATCAAAGTTAAGTTGTTTTCAGCTTGAAATAACTTATTGTATCTCCAAGACTTTTTGTTCAGCCTCCTGGTAACCACAAAGTAAATACACAAAAAAATAAAAAGCATGAAATCAAAACATTCTCTTAGAGAAAATCATTCAATCACAAAGGAAGACTGTAAGAGAGGAAGGAAGGAAGGAACTATAAAACCATTTGAAAAAATTCACAAAATGGCAGTAGTAGGACCTTACCTTGAATGTAAATGGATTACATTCTCCAATTAAAGACACAGAATGGCTGAATAGATTAAAAAAGAAGATGCAAATATATGCTGCCTACAAGAGACTCACTTCACTGATAAGGACACAAACAACCGAAAGTGAAGGGATGGAGAAAGATATTCCACACAAATGGAAACCAAAAGAGAGAAGGGATAGCTATACTTAGATAAAATAGAACTGGAATTTAAAACCATAAAAAAGGACACACAGAAGGTCATTACAAAATAAAGGGGTCAATTCAGCAAGAGGATATACAATCACAAATATATAAGCACATAAAATTGGAGCACCAAAATATATAAAGCAAATATTAATTAATTTAAGGGGAGAAATTGACTGCAATACATTAATAGTAAAGGACAGATCATCCAAACAGAAAGTCAACAAAGAAACACTGAATTTAAACTGTAACTCTAGACCAACAGACCAGCTCTGGACCTAACACACATTTACAGAACATTCCCTCCAATAGCTGCAGAATACACATTCTTATCACCACATAAAACATTCTCCAGGTTAGATAATATATTAGGCCACAATACAAGTCTTAACAAATTTACAACTGAAATCATGTCAAGTAATGTTTTCTGACCATGATGGTGTAAAACTAGGAAAGTTTACAAATATATGCAAATTAATCAAAGTGCTCCTGAACAACCAATGAGTCAATGAAGAAGAGACACCTGCACTCCTATGTTTATTGAAACACTATTCAAGATAGCCAAGATGTAGAGTAAACCTAAGTGTTTATCAATGGATGGAAGGATAGAGAAAATGTCATATATATACATAATGGAATACTACTCAGCCATAAAAAAGAAATCTGTCATTTATGGCAAAACACAGAAACCTGGAAACCCATGGATGTGGAACCCGTAGATATGGAGGACCAATTGCATTTCCAAACAGCTAGATGAGAGGATTTTGAATGTTCTCACTGCAAATAAATGATAAATGTATAAGGAGATAAATATGCTAAATACACTCATTTTATTTTTTATGAAATGTCCATACGTATTGAAACATCACACTTATGTCATAAATATGTACAATTATTATGTGTCAATTAAAAACAAAAATAAACAGATATGAATGCTTTTAAGCACTCCAACTTAAAAACATTGTCAGACTGGATTTTTTAAAAAATACAAGAACCAACTGCATACTCTGTACATCAGATACACCTTAAATATAAGAAAATATGCAATGGAAGTAAAAGAATGAAAAAGATACCCCGTGCAAAGACTAACTTTAAAAAGCTGCCAATAAAAAAAAAAAAGCTGCACGGCAATACTACTATCACAAAATCAGAATTCAAAATTAAGAGTAGTACTAGAGACAACAACGAGAATTGCATAATGATAAATAGCCAATTCATTAGGAAAACATAATAGTCCTAAAGATGCATGCACTAAAATGTAACTCCAAAATACATGAAATACAATTAATGTGTGTAAAACAAGTTACATAACAACAATAATAAAAAACAATAGTTGGCACTTTCAACACATCTTTCTCAAGAATTGATAGAACAAGAGGAAAAAACAAGATTTCAAGAACACTGTCAACAAATGACTTAATTAACATTTATATACTCAGCAACAGCAAAATACACATGTACTTATTTAGTACACACAGAACATGCAACAAAATATATCATAGGCTAAACCAACTCAAGAAAATAATTTTAAAACATTGAGATTATATAAATATATTCTCTGGTCACCATTGAGAAAACAATAAGGAAAAAGTGAGCTAAAAAAATACCAATATTTGGATTTAAACAGGCTTCTACATAATCTATAACTCAAAAGAGAAATCAAAATAAAAATCTGAAAATGTTTTGACCTGAACTATAATGAGGACACAACATAAAATATGTGGAATGGAGCTAAAAATGTACATAGGACAAACTTATACCTTTAAATGCATTAGAAAAGAAGATTTAAAATCATTGATCTAAACTTTCACTTGAAGAAGGTAGAAGAAAAACAAATTAATAAAATGTGTAATCAATGAAGTAGAAAACAGAGATGTAATAGAGAAAAATAACAAAGTCAAGAGCGGTTCTGGAGAGATTCTTAAATTAATTAACTAGATAAACTCTTCACGAGACTGATGAGAGGAAAAAAAAACCTTATTATTACAAGGAATGAAAGAGGGGACATAACTATAGATCCTATAGACATAAAAAAGAATATTATGAACAACATTAGGCCACAAGTCTAATCATTAAATAAAATGGATAAACTTTTTTTAAAAATACAGTGCCTGAAAAAACCTATCACAAGAATAAATGGAAAATTTGAATAGTTCTCTATTTAATAAATTGAATCTGTAATTTAAAATCATCCCCCCGCCAAAAAAAAAAAAAAAAAAAAAAAAAAAAAAAACTCCAGTCCCAGAGAACTTCACTGGTGAATTTTGACAAACATTTAACTGAAAATCTAAACAAGTTTTTCAGATTATTTCAGAAAATGGAAAATGAGAGAACCTTTCTCTAATTCATTTTATCAAGCCTCATACCAAACTCTAACAAGGGTTTAATATTTGCCTTTAAGACCCATGCCTAAGGGTCCTTCAGAAGCTGCCTCTCTGTCTTCTGGGCTTGACCCTGTGGGTCACTTGGCCAAGGGACAAGAGAAAGGTGAGGGGTAGAAGGAAAGGCCTGGATGGGAAGTTACAACCCCTGAAACAAACAGTCCTCCCTCAGAAACCCAGGCTGGGGTCATGGGGAGTATGAGGAGGGCAAATATCTGGATATATTGGACCTCTGTGCAGCCAGCCAAATCCCATGAGAAGGACCAGAAGGAGGAACACAGTACACTGCCCAGATCCTGTCATGGGTAAGATTGAATAGGTGCTGTAGCTGGGGCCCCAGGCAGTACATCAGAGGGGGTGGCATGGGGCAGGGGGCACAGGGGCAGGAGTCATGGAAGAGCTGCAGAGAAGACAATGAGAAGAGCTCATGAGGAGTCAGGTGGGAACGGGGACAGCTGAGATGAGTTTGGAAGACTGTTTTCAATTAAGGGCCCTGCACCTGCAAAACTGTAGTCCCCGGGGGTAAAGGAAAGAGAAGAAAAAAAACGAACACGCTGGCATGCAAATTGATCCACACTCAATTTATTGTTTCTTTCAGCTGTGACCACGGAAGGAAAGACAGAATTTTCATTTCTTAGCGAGACTCTCGATGTTATCCGTTGCCTTCTGAAGGAATCACTAGTTACTGTGGAAGAGAACAAAAAAACACGTGCTCAAAGTACTGACAGCAAATTCCCTCCCACTGTACAAGCAGCTGAGGTATTGCCAAGTGGAAAATTCATGTGGCACGAAAAAAAGAATTATTGAAAGGATGTTTACAATTTTGCCTGTGAAATTATTTAACCATGAGCCACTTATTTACTTTATGCTTTTCTTTGATTTCTGAGGAACCATCATATTTAATCAGAAGTACTTGCAAATGAAAAAATTAAAATTTTTTCATATAAAATGAAATGTTTATGAATTTAACAATTAAGTTAATGTCTTTACATGTTTTAGAAATTTAAGTTCACATTAATTTTCCTTTTTTCATACCTTGCAGCCAATTACTCCGTGTGTGTGTGTATGTGTGTGTACGTGTGTGTGTGTGTGTGTGTGTACGTGTGTGTGTGTGTGTATAACAGTATTTTGGCCTTTTGATCTTTGAAAATTCATAGACCTGAAGCATTATAGCCTATGCTGCCTAATGAATAAAATGGTCCTGATTACAGATTTGTTTTATAAACAAATTTACAGATCTTACATCTTGTAGGTACAACTCTTTAATTCTATTCTATCAACAAGAGCAAGTTCTCAATAAACTTAAGAGAACTTTACTAAACTGAAAAAAAACAGACTAAGTTATTTAAATACTCATTAGTAACAAGATTAATAAAGATTGGTCATTTGAAGCTAGGTCATTTAGGCTGGACATGATGGCTCACGCCTGTAATCCCAGCACTTTGGGAGGCTGAGGGGGGCAGATCACCTGAGGTTAGGAGTTCAAGACCAGCCTAGCCAACATGGCAAAATCCTGTCTGTACTAAAAATACAAAAATTAGGCGGGCATGGCGGCACACGCCTGTAATCCCAGCTACTCAGGAGGCTGAGGCAGGAGAATCGCTTGAACGCGGGAGGCTGAGGTTGCAGTGAGCTGAGATCGCACCATTGCACTCCAGCCTGGTCGACAGAGCAAGACTCTGTCTTAAAAAAAAAAAAAAAAAAAAGAATAAAAGAAAGATAGGTTATTTATTGGTGCAGTACTTTACCAATTCATCTACCCAGTCCATACTTAGGAATTAATAGTGGATTATGAGTTTTATTTTAATTTTATACATGTATTTATTTTAAGAAACACCTTCTAATATACTTACCTACTGCTTTGTGTTTGGGTACTGTCCTGTGATTTGGATCTAAGGAAATAAGGAAATAACATTTTTAGGCTGATATAATACAACCTGTCAAACTTATGTTGTATTTATTTGTTATGGCAATTTCTTCCTCTTTCCGTTCAAAGTTGTACTAAAAAAGAAATATTTGCCAAATTTCTACCTCTTTTCCATTTTTTTTTTTTTTTTTTTTTTTTTAGAGATGGAGTTTCACTTTGCCACTCAGGTTAGAGGGCAGTAATATGACTGTGGCCCACCACAGCCTCAACCTCCTGGGGGCTCAAATGTCCTCCTGCCTCAGCCTCCCAAATATCTAAGGCTACAAGCATACACCAACATGCCCAGCCAAATTTTTATATTTCTTTGTAGAAATGGGATTTCACTTTGCTGCCCAGGCTTGTCTTGAACTCCTGACCTCAAGCAGTCCTCCCACCTTGGCTTCCCAAAATGCTGGGATTACAGCATTTTGTAATGTGAGCCACCACACCCAGTCTTTTCCATTTTTATATACACAGATTCCTTATTTCTAATCCCCTAACTAAAAGAATGGGGGAGAAAAAGAATGAACTGAAGACAAATTAATCAAGATTAATTCACAGAGAAGATAATACAATATAAGTGAGAGTATTCAGTGATAATGCACAATTTTACTTCTTTCGTCCTTTCCCTACCTTTGCTATTTTATATCTTCAAAACTTACTGTTGATTTTTCCTACTACTCTGACCATGAAACATTCTTATTTAATATAATTAGTTATCTCCCAAACCAATAAAAAGATCTGTATTTATAGACATATGAGTCTACTGAAATGTACACCCATTAGATTTCTGGCTTAAAAAAATATATTGTTTCATTATGTTTACCCAAGGAATTGGCTCTACCAACATCTCCCACTGGCTTCCCAACGGCAACAAAAATACTAAAAATATAAATGTAAAAGGAACAGAAATACAAGAAAATACAGTAAATGCTCTAACAGTAAAGGACAGCAACTATGTCTGCTTAGCTTACTAAGTTTAAGTGAAAGAATAATCACCAAATACCTTTCTGGGTATGCTAAACACAAAGTTAGAATAATGGGTTAACATTCCAAATTATACTCCCCAAATCCAGTGTATATTACCCTATAGATGATGCCCTTGTCTATCCCTCAATCTAGTTGAATTTATTACTTTTAAAAAGGATGATTATGATATGATTATGGCATATTTTATGAGGAGAGATAATGTAAGGGGACAATTAGAGTAGTTACACCACTAAGAATTATATGTGCATATGTGAACTTCAAGAGAAACCACTCATTCGTTAAGCAAGTATTTATTGAGCATTAACCCTGCAAGATGCTACCTATAAATAGGTAGGGAAAATAAACATGGACTTGACCCTCAAGTGATTTCAGAGCCTAAAAGGAGAGTAATGCTTCTAGGTGAGCAGAAGATTGGGAGAATTGCAGTGTTTGAGCACTCTATCACAACTCCCTTGGTGACAGTGACGGAGAGTGGAGACAACAAAGAAAATCAGCTTTTTTCTCAAACATAGCTTAGAGAAAGTAACTGATGACTGTAAAAGGGTGCTTATGTTAGGAGACATCCAAGAACAACAGAAAGGATAAAGGAGACAGAAATACTGTAGCTTTCCTAATGGATGGGGTGCCTTCATTGGGGAAAATACAAACCATATAATGTTTTGGTGTAGCCTAGAAAATTTAATCTGTGTGTATAAAGGATATTTTGGAATAGCAGTGGGTTGAATGTAACTCAAAGAGGTCACTTTAAGGAAAAATACTAGGCAATATAAGAAAATGAAAACTCTACAATGGAGAAACCATGACGAACATAGCAGTAAATATTTGATAACTTCAGAAGGATCACAAAGCCACAACTGTGGGGTGTAGGAAACCAAAAGCTTCTCTAAACGAGTTCAGAGAACCCTTGTTAACATAGGTGTGGGACATTGAGGATCTGTGGGAAATGTAGAATTTTAGTGTGTTTATAATACTGTCTCCTAAACTCTTCCTAAGTGGAAATAATCATTCGCTCAGTTGTTCACATTGAGTTTTTGGGGGTGTAAATGCAACCTGAAAAAGTACTATTTCCCCTTTGTGTATCCCAGAATAAAGGATGCAAAATGTTCAGCTTATGATTTAGTTTCACAAAGTAATCATAAATATTTGTCTCTTATTAAATTTCACTAGCTTATTTCTTATGTACCACAAGAGTAGGCAATCAACAAAAATTTAGTCAACTGAAGAAAAAAGATTAATGGAATTAATTAATGCTTGTAGAATGGGAAATATTAATAAGTTGGGTTTGGTGTAGACTTTATCGATTGTGGCTGCTCAAAAAATGTTGAGCAATTATTTGTGAATTATCAACTTTTTCATTCTGAATTTTCAACATACTTATTTATAAGTAACACTTTCTATCCTGCTTACCTGCTAGTATATGCTTCAGCACTATCTTCTGATTTGGATCTAAAAATAAATTAAAAACAATATATATTAAATATCTATTATTAAAAATAAATTGGCCAGGCGCGGTGGCTCATGCCTGTAATCCCAGCACTTTGGGAGGCTGAGGCGAGTGGATCACAAGGTCAGGAGATCGAGACCATCCTGGCTAATACGATGAAACCCCGTCTCTACTAAAAATACAAAAAATTAGCCAGGTGTGGTGGCGGGCGCCTGTAGTCCCAGCTACTCGGGAGACTGAGGCAGGAGAATGGAGTGAACCCAGGAGGCAGAGCTTGCAGTGAGCCAAGATCACGCCACTGCACTCCAGCCTGGGAGACAGAGCAAGACTCCATCTCAAAAAAATAAAAATAAACATAAATAAAAATAAAAATAAATTAAAAACAATATCTGAAAGTTAACACTAAGAGCTTGCCTACTTTGAGAATGAAAAACAGGCCATTTTATAGCACCAAAACTAATTATTTAAATATGTGGGGCATGCAAATAAATAGCATTCTTTTTTACTCAAACACCAAATGCAACATATAGTACAAAATGTAAATTCTCTAGTAGAGAATCAAGAGTATCAAGATAGCAGAGGTTTTTCAAATTACTTCGAAGTTAATGTAAATTTAACTGTAAATGTCTAAACCTGTTCTTCAGCCTCCAAGTTAGTTTTGTATTTGTTAATATATAAATTGCAGCAGTTTGTAAATTAAAACTTACATTTACTTCTGACCAGTTTGGCAGACTGGACAAATAGTAAAACTTATCCTTTCTATTAGATACATAGAGAAAAGCTGAAGAAAACAAAAAACGTATGCATAACTAAGATTGACAGTCACAAAGGGTTTTCCTTCTACCATTTAAAAAAAAATAAATTAGAAGCTCAGAGGGAAAACAAGAGCTAAAGCTGAATTACTTATACCCTAAAAGATGTGGTTTTCATAACCCTAGCTTGGAAGGAGTTGAGGGCATGGATCTTTACGTGTTAGAAAGCTGCAATGGAGCAGTTTCCCAAGCCTGGTAGTCTTTAATGGAAATATTAAAAGCTATGACCACTGCACTTCAGAACACAACTAGCAAATTTTCTCAGGCAAGTGAAAAGAAAAGGATCATCTAGAGATGCAGAAATCACAGGCCTGCACCACGCAGTGCAGACCTCAGCTGCTCAGTTCCACTACTCGCAAATCTGAAAGAGCAAGCATGGAAAACATTACAACATTCATGCCCCAGGAGAGGCAAACCTGAAATACTCTCATCCTCCCAATGCATGCCTCTACAACTCAGGGCATGCAGAAGTCCCATGAGAACAATCACTGCCCTTGAGGGTGGGCTTATCAACCTAAATTGCAAAACAAAAATTCACACATCAAGATCAACAGATAATATAAAAATCTTCAAAATTGAAATATTTAGGATCTCCACACAAATCAAGGCAGGACTGAGGCAAAAAAAAATAGCTATTAAGAAAACGGAGGATTTGGAAACTGATATAAGGAAGTGAAACAATGTCAGATAGAGAGGTAGAAAGATGTAATACATGAAGAACCCAGTTAAGAAACATGGATGCTAGTCCGGGCATGGTGGCTCACGCCTGCAATCACAGTACTTTGGGAGGCCGAGGCGAGTGGATCACAAGGTCAGGAGTTCAAGAAGAGCCTGGCCAAGATGGTGAAACCCCGTCTCTACTAAAACTACAAAAATTAGCCAGGCGTGGTGGCAGGTGCCTGTAAGCCCAGCTACTTGGTAGGCTGAGGCAGAGAATTGCCTGAACCCAGGAGATGGAAGTTGCAGTGAGCTGAGCTCGCGCCACTGCATTCCAGCCTGGGCAACAGAGACTCCGCTTAAAAAAAATAAATAAAAGACGAAAGAAACATGAAGGCTAAAATGAGAAGACCCTCCTAAATATAATCATTTCCAGTGGAAAAAAGAGAAAGAATGAGAAAGAGTCAATAATTGAAGACATAATGACTGAATTAATTTTTTAGATTTAATGACCTGAGTCCTGATATCTAAAGACTATATTGAATCTAGAGCTGGATAAATAAAAACAAATTCTATCAGAACATATAATCATAAAATAACAAAACATTTGAGACAAAAAGGAAAACTTAGAAGCCACCTAGAAAAAGCACATTAATTGAGGGGGGAATAAATAATGATACTGACAACTAAGGTCTCATCAATGACAGTACATGGCACATTACAACAACAGAATATTACAAAACGCTTTCAGAAAAGTCCTTCTCAGCTAGGAGTAACCATTTAAGCTATCATTCAAAATTCAGTGTGGATAAAAAAAGCATGTTCAGGCATTTAACACAAATGTTGATAATACAGAATCACTAAACTGAAACTAAAAGGGTTGTAAAAAGGAAACTAAACCCATAATGAAAAATCAATGGATTCAACAATAAATAGTGAGAGCAAAGCAACTGATAAATACGTTTTAAGCTCTTAGCAGGTATTAATTTAATATAAAAATGATTATAATAATAGTAATAATAATAATAATAATGGAGGGTAGGGTTCTGTAGGTAAAAACCTGGAAGAAGCTAAAAGCCAAATGACAATAATATGGGAGAGTAATGTTAAGAGTTTGCTGATAAATTGTCAAAGATTCTTCTGTTGCTTAGGAAAAGACTGGAAATACTGAAAGAATTTAGACATTTAAAATAATTACACTAAAGTAGTACTAATGTGACCCATACTGGTGATGGGAACAGGTGGCAGAGAAATTCTAGGCAGAAAAGGGTGGGTCTCTGGCAAAAGCGCCACCCTCAAGCCGAAAAGCCGGAAACCACCATCCAAAGAGAGAATTTCTATCACTGTTTTCCTGCTCAACCTAAACCACCCATGGCCCTGCCCCTCCCCATTCTGTGCCTATAAAGACCCCAGACTCAGTTGGCAGAGACGAGAGGCAGCTGGACGTCAGGGACTATGGCTGGATGTCGGAGAGAAGGGGCTAGACTTCAGAGGGACAGCTTGATGGCATAACTTCAGAGAAGAGTCCAGCCCGAGGTGGCTGGACTTGAGGGGAAGATTTCCTGCCCATCCCCTTTTCAGCTCCCCTTCCCGCTGAAAGCCACTTTCATTATTCAATAAAATTCCTCACATTTATCATCTTTCAATTCATTCATGCAACCTCATTTTTCCTGGATGCCAGACAAGAGTTTGGGAGCCACAAGTGTGGATTCAAAAGGCTGTCACACTGTCCCTTCGCCCTCACTGGTGGAGATCAGCCGCCTCACTTGAAAAGGCAGAGGGCCTACTGAGCTGTTAATACTTAAGCTGTCCAAGCTAAAAGAGCACTGTAACACGCCCTCTGGGGTTTTCGGAGTCACAGGCACCCTGCCTGGATACCGCTGCAGGGCCTGCACAGAGTTCGCCCCTGCCGGCGCCCAAAAGTGCTGGCTGTGGCTCCTGCACCTGCTCACCTGCATGCTCCCTCCCGAGTGGTGGAGCGCAGTGGGTCCCAGTGAGTGGAGTTTGATCCCGCCCAGCCAGGGCTGAAATGGCCGGCTGGTTCCAGCGCTCCTGCACTCTAGCAGCTCCCACCTCGTTCACCCACGCGTTCCCTCCGATGAGGAGTCAGGAGGCTGAGTAAACGAGGCACCCCTGTCATGAGTCCCCTGAAGGGGTCAGGGAAATATCCTGCTTCACTGGAATTCATTCCATCTCTCTGCTTTCTTTGGCTTCAACTTCCCACCAGTTAAAGGTTACTCCAAAGATAAATGACATGAAAACTATGGTGGATGTTATATCACTAAAGCACAGCCACCATGTCAAATGATGTTACTAAAATTCAAATGAATAGTTATTCTAAAATGATTCCCTGGTGCACGGTAAGCCAGAAGGCTAGACCAGTGGTTTAACATTGCAAATTAAACGATGTCTATTGAAATGTACATTTTCCTATGGGTGATGCTATCACCCCTCACTGAATGGAGGTAAATAACCCTGGGAGAGATGAATTATGTTAACAGGGTTTCAGGGTGAGAGATGATATATTGAGCGAAGAAGAAATGGAGGAAGCGACAACATCATCATGGATATATGAATGTGTGTGCATGCATGCATGTGAACACATATATATATAGATTTGTCTATGTACCTTTGTGTTTCTGTTTTTGTTGGTTTGGTTGCCTCTGTGTGAAGATCAAAGGTAGTCATTCATTCATTCCTTCAACAAATATTTATTGATCACTTATAATATGAGCCGAGCACTCTGCTACATGCTAGCTATACAATGCTGAGCAAGATAGACATAGCCTTTATTATCTGAGATGACAGAATATAATAAGAGAAAAAGGTCACTGAGGCTCGCTGGGCCTGATCCCTATATGGTAACTCCCTTGCTCACAATAATAAGAACAGACATGATAATAAAAATCAAAATTTTAAAGATAAACTCATGACTCCAACGTGCCACTGTAAGGAAAAAAATAATGAGGCAGATTAAAAATGAGCAACGCAGGCATTCTTATTGAAGAGGTAAATTTCTTCTGGAACAAAAGAAATCATACAACCTTGTTGTGCAGCTTAGAGAGTTTGTCCTGTGGATTTGGATGTGTTTGGGAACAGCAGTGGGCTTGGAGCAACCTAGAAAGAATAACACTAGCCCCCTATAAATGTATATAAAAACTGTAACTCAGAGAGGGAGCAGTAAAAACTTCAAAGCATTTTATATCTGCAGAAGGACCTAAAACCCACAATTGCTGAGTGTGAGGAACTAGATACTTACTGAGTTATTATAAAAAGACATCCACCTTTCAGGAAATGGACAGGGACCTAGTAATACTGAGAACAATGAAAGATGTGGAATTTTTGTTCCTTTGTGATGCTTTTTTTTTTTTCAACAAATTCTTCCCAGGTGATCTATGCGAGCATTCACTCAGTTATTCATCAGCATACATATTAGTTTCTAGTTGTGCCATCTCCAAATAAAAAAGTAAACTTCCCCTTGGTGTACTCCAAGAAAAAGAATACAAAAAGATCCTTTTTATGAATTAGCTCCTTAAACATTTCACCAAAAATGTTTTCCTTTGTTTCCCAAAAATAAACTCCCAACACATATTAACTAAACTGCAGGAAAGAAGATATTGTCTTATTTAGACAAATACTCGCAAGTTACTAGATCAGCAAATAGGTTGTTTTAAGGTACAGTACTTTACTAATTGTGGCTACTCAGTTAATAGTTAGCAAGTAATTGTTAATTATCAATTTGTTCATCTCAATTTTTAACATATACTTATTATATAAAAAAAATGCCCCCTAATTCACTTACTTGCTAGTATCAGCTTGACTGCTGCTTTCTGATCTGGTTCTAAAAGAAAGCGAAAAAGTAATGCTTCCACGTTAATACTTAACACAAATGTGCCTCCATAATGAATGAATGTCGGATCATTTTACAACCTGTGTTAATTCTTCTCTACCAAGAATCACCACTGAAGAATAATTTCAAAAGACTACTAAATTAGCATATGCAAACAAGTTTTTATTTATTCATATACAATGTCCATAAAAAGTTTAAATTTCAAATATTCAACTAAGCAGAGGAACAAGAAAACTGATTTGTTTTTCTCCTTTCACTTTCTAGCACAGAATACATGCTTTATTTTAAATGCCTGATTCTGGCCTTCAGAGTCTATCCGTTGATAAATACATTGCTGTAGGTTGTGATTCAAAATCCACACTAATGTCAAGAAGACTGAACTGATGGGGAGGTGTGGTAATTTCCCCTCCTATACCACACACAGAGAAATAGTGCAAAACAACACATACTATTTACTAAAACTTTATGAAAGAAAAGGCCATTTCTAGTGATAGTAACAGAGAGAGAGAGAATTGAAAATGCGAAAGGTAAATACAAACTAAATCTGAATGACTTTGGGGGTACACAAGTCAGTTTCATAAGCCACATCAGCTTATCAAGAGTTGAGACTTCCTAGAAAGATGAAGCTGACCTCCTTCTCTAAACCTGGAAGCCCTGAAAGGCTGTACCACCCATGAAATGGGGATAGTAAAAGCTGTGGCCACTAGACACAGAGATGCATCAGGGAAATTGCTTCAGAAGTAGAGATGAAAAATGAACACCAGGAGGCACGGGAACCCGGAGCACTTAAATTGGCTTAGGAATTTGGATGGAAAAATCATCACACAGAGAAACAGGAGCCTTAATTCTTTACACGTATAGGATAAGGACACCACTCCATGCTTCCCATGAACTCCAGTGTAACAGTTAATGTAAAAATTTATCACACAGGAGGGTAAAACATGACCTCCACAAGGAGTCTTCTGCAAAGCACAGTAGGTTTGTTTACACCAGCATCACCACAAACAAGTGAGTAATGCATTGCTCTCTGATGTTGTGATGGCTACAACATCACTAGGCTGTAGGAATTTTCACCTTCATTATAATCTTATGGAACCACCATCATACATGTGGTTTCTCATTTACCAAAACATTGTTATGAAGCACATGGCTCTCTCTGTAACACCAGCTGGGTAACTTCTAGGCCCTATACATTCTTTTTCTTTACTAATTATACATGTCCTATCTCATTTTAGAATCAGCTATTTTATTCCTTGTTTCCTCAAAAGAGACCTCCAGTAAACATTTATTAAATAAAGAAATGACTAATTTATTAGAAACTAAATTCAACTGTATATTAGCAGTCTGGATTTTAGTGCATTGCTTTACCAATTGACATTGTTCAAAAATATTTAGAAATAAATTGTGAATTATCAATAAATTCTTAATTTTCAACATGTATCTTAAAAACCTCTTCTAACCTACTTACTGGCTGGCATATGTCTGAGTGCTGCCTTCTGAGCTGGATCTAAAAAAAAATTGAAAGCAATGTCTCAAGTTAGTACTAAGAAAACTTGCCAACTTCATGAATGAAAATCAGGCCATTTTATAATTAGTATTATCTCTTTAAAAGACTAATTACTAATAAATAAAATGATGTCCAAAGGTCACTGAACATAGATGCAAATAAATAACATTTTCATCTACCCATATACCTCATCCACAAGAAGGGCACATTTCAAATCCTGCAATGAGGAGAGTATCCAAAAAACACAGATTTGCTTTTTCTGAACATAGAATATAGATCCGTTCAGAAAAAAACACAGATTAGCTATTTCTAAACATAGAACATAGGTTTGACTTTGCATGATTCTCACCTTCATACCCCAACTTTTGGCTTTTTATTTATTGTTTAAAAAAAGACAGTATTTTGTAAATTAAAACCTATACTGCCTCCTAAGCAATCTAGCAGAGTGAGCTGGCAAAACAATTTTCCCTTTCCATTCCTCGCATAGAGGAGTGCTGAAAAAAAAAAATCACACACACAAACATTTGATACACAACTGAAGCTCACAGCAAGGAAAGACTTCTCCTATTGCCAATAAAAACGATAAAACTGAGAGCTCACAGGTTAAACAGGAGCTGAGGCTGAATAACTTCAGAAGCATCTAAACCTACAGTGCTGCCAGTCATATGAAAGTACATCACATACAATTATGTACAGTACAAAATACATGATAATGATAATAATAACTGGTTTTGGTTTATGTGTTTACTATCCTATCCTTTTGTTTGTTTGTTTGTTTGTTTTTTGAGGTGGAGTCTTGCTCTGTCTCCCAGGCTGGAGTGCAATGTCGAGATCTTGTCTCACTGCAACCTCTGCATCCTGGGCTCAAGCGATTCTCCTGCCTCACCCTCCTGAGTAGCTGGGATTACAGGCATGTGCCACCACGCCTGGCTAATTTTATTTATTTATTTATTTATTTTTGTATTTTTAGTAGAGACGGGGTTTCACCATGTTGGCTAGGCTAGTTTCGAACTCCTGACCTCAGGTGATCCGCCCGCCTCAGCCTCTCAAAGTGCTGGGATTACAGGAGTGAGCCACCGCGCCAGGCCTATACTGTCCTTTTTATCATTATTTTAGAGCGTACTCCTTTTGCTTATTTAAAGAAAAAAAATTAACTGTAAAACAACTTCAAGCAGGTCCTTCAAGACGAATCCAGAAGGTGGCATTGTTATCCTGGCCAATGACAGCTCCAGGTATGTCATTGATTCTGAAGACCTCCCAGCAGGACAAGATGTGGAGATGGAAGACAGTGATATTGGCTGTCTTGACCCTGCATAGACCAAGGCTAATGTGTTTCTGTCTTAGTTTTTACCAAAAATTTTAAAAAGAAAAAAAAATTAAGACAAAAAAGCCGATAAAGATATAAAGAATTTGTACAATGTGTTTGTTTTTGAGCTAAATGTTATTACAAGAGTCAAAAAGTTTTATAAAATTAAAAAGTGTATCAATTTTAAAAGTTATAGTAAAACGTAAGGTTAATATATTATTGAAGAAATAAATTTTTAAGTAAATTTAGTGTAGCCTAAGTGCACAGTGTTTATACAGTTTATAGTAGGACTCAGTAATGCCCTAGGCCTGCACATTCACTCACCACTCACTCACTGACTCACCCGGAGCAACTTCCAGTCCTGCAAGTTCCATTCATTGTAAGTGCCCTATACAGACATATCATTTTTTATCTTTTATATTATTTTTACAGTAGCTTTTCTATGTTTCAATACATACTTAATCAGTTACAGTTGCTTACAGTATTCCATACCATAAGATGCTGTACAGGCTTATATATATAAGGTTATAGGATATAACCTAGGTACATAATAGGCTATACAATCTAGGTTTTTTTAAGTACACTCTGTGATGTTCGCACAATAACACAATCACCTAACGGTGCATTTCTCAGAATGTATCTTTGTGTTAAGCGACTCATGACTGAATTAGTGTACTGCTTGGGTAAACAAACAAATGGATGGAATTTTATAGATTGTGACAGAAGTCATGAATCTAGATGTATAAATTTCTACAATAATTATGGGTTGAGGAGAGCTAATTACATTGACCTAATTGTTCTGTTCTTTTAATCATCAATAAATTGCATTTTGTCCCTATTCATCCTACTTATGTTTCTTTTATTTCTTTTGCTTTCTTTCTTTCTTTTTTTTTTTTTTTTTTTTCTGGAGCTCACTGGCGATCATGGCTCACTGCAGTCTTGAACTCCTAAGCTAAATGAATCCTCCCACCTCAGCCTCCCAAGTAGCTGAGACCACAGGCTCATGCCACCATGCCTGGCTATTTTTTTAATTTTTAATTTTTCAGGTGCTCCTCACACCTCAGCCTCCTAAAGTGCTGGGATTACAGGCATGACCCAACACACACAGCCCCTATTCATATTTTTTAACCATAACTTCAGTTCTCACTATTTTCTAACAGTCTGTGAAGTGGACTCCATATTCTCTTTCAGTGTCAAGACACTTAACTACCCATTTTCAATTTTGTAAAAGTCCAAGACCTTATTTCTTCAAATATTGACTCTTCCCCACTCTAAATTTTCTGTCTCTGAATTCTTTTGTTTCTTAACTGGTCTTTTATATGTTATTATTCTGTTTATGTTGTATTCTCAGTGATTTCCCTAAACAATTTAAAAATAAAATCTTTTTTCAGCTCCTTTATTTCTTGTTTAATGGATTATATTTGTTTTTTAACTTCTATGCGGATCCTAAGCATTTTTTTTTTTTTGAGGTTTTTCAATTACCTGTATTTCTTTAGATTGCTTTGGCTGTTGGCATCACCACCTTTAGTGGCTTTTTTTTTTTTTGTAAGGTTAAGTAGCATTGATTGTCTCATGAGAATTCTGCATATTTTGCTTTGTGCAGTAGGTTTGCTTACACCAGCATCACCACAAACCAGTGAGTAATGCATTGCTCTCTGATGTTGTGATGGCTACAACATCACTAGGCTACAGGAATTTTTCACCTTCATTATAATCTTATGGAACCACCATCATACATGTGGTTTATCATTTACCAAAACATTATTATACAGCACGTGCCTCTATAACACAAGCTGGGTAACTTCTAGGCCCTATACATTCTTTTTCTTTACTAATTATACATGTCCTATCTCATTTTAGAATCAGCTATTTTATTCCTTGTTTCCTCAGAAGAGACTTCCAGTAAACATTTATTAAATGAAGAAAGGACTAATTTATTAGAAACTAAATTAGACTATATATTAGCAGTCTGGATTTCAGTGCATTGCTTTACCAATTGATGTTCAAAAAAAAATTGGAAATAAATTGTGAATTATCAATTAACTCTTAATTTTCAACATGTATCTTAAAAACACCTTCTAAACTACTTACTGGCTGGCATATGTCTGTGTGCTACCTTCCGATTTAGATCTAAAAAGAAATTGAAAATGTCTCATGTTAGTACTTAGAAAACTTGCCAACTTCATGAATTAAAATCAGTCCATTTTATAATCAGTATTATCTCCTTATAAGACTAATTATTAAAAAATAAAATATTGTCCAAAGGTCAATGAACACAGATGCAAATAAATAACATTTTTATTTACCCATATACCTCATCCATAAGAAGGGCACATTTCAAATCCTGCAATGAGGAGAGTATCAAAAACACCCAAATTTGCTTTTTCTGATCCCTTCTAAACACAGAATCTAGATTTGACCTTGAATGTCTGATTCTGACCTTCATAATCCAACTTTTGGTTTTTTATTCATTTTTAAAGAAAAGACTAACTCTGAGGCCAGAGATTTAGTAGCACTGCCTTAGAAGGAGCTGAAGCCTCAGGCCTTCGGATGCAGAGATGCTATAAGTGAACTCTTTAACTAAACCAGGAGCCAGAAGGAGCCATCTCACCCATGAAACAGGAATAATAAAATTTCTGACCAGTGGCTTTTGGAATGCAAGAGGGAAATATGCATAAATAGAGAGAAAAATGCATCAAGAAGAGAAGTAGGACTCCCAAGTGTCATAAAAGTGCAGTTTCAGGACCCCAGTTCACACTCCCACAAATTCTTGAACACCATGCATGGCAAATTTTTAAAAATATTTTTTCTTTAAGAAAGGAAAAATTAAACAACTGGTATGGTTAGGCTTCGTGTCCCCACCCAAATCTCATCTTAAATTGTAATCCCCATAATCCCCATGTGTCAAGAGAAAGACCAGGTGGAAGTAATTGAATCACGGTAGTGGTTTCCCCCATGCCTTTCTCGTGATAGTGAATGAGTTCTCATGAGATCTGACGGTTTTATAAGAGGTTCTTGCCCCTCCGCTCAGCACTTCTCCCTCCTGCTGCCTTGTGAAGAAGGTGCCTTGCTTCCCCTTCGCCTTCTGCCATGATTGCAGGTTTCCTGAGGCCTTCCCAGCCATGCTGTGAGTCAATTAAACCTCTTTCCTTTATAAATTACCCAGTCTTGGGCAGTTCTGTATAGCACTATGAAAATGGACTAATACAACAACTTACATATATGTCTCTATAACACAGCACACACAGAATTCTCATGGGAAACATCAAAGACACTGAAGATAAAAGAGTCTACCATTACAAATCACTAAGAGTTAATGTCAACACTACACTAAAACATGAATTCACGCAGCAAGAGCTACAAATGATTTGCTTTAAAAACGCTTTAATCTGAGAATATTTAGACTCCTCACAGAGATCTTTGCAGGAATAGAATCCATAAGTCTAAAACAGGACAGAGAGGAAAGAAAAATTAGAGAAATGAAAGAGTAAACTAAGAAAATTAATCAGAATGTGAGATGCAGAGATTAAAAATATGTGAAAGTTGCAAATACTAAAAGCATACTTCTAATTCTGGCCAAGATGGGGTAAGACTAAATTTACCCTCCTGCCAGAATGTCTAAAAATACAGACAAAATGTATAAAACAATTGATTTCACACATTGGCTACTAGACAGTGCAGTACAGCGAACTTTGAGAGAAGGAAACAAGGTGAGCTCTATGATTGACTCTTCTTACTGCCTAGAGAGAGTTTTCAGGCTGTAATGCAATGAGGGAAACTGAGGCAAATCCCAGTAGTCTCTCTGAGTTGAGGTGATAGAATTGGGGGCCTAGGAAGGGCAAGGCAGCTAGGGTTCACAGGGCAGAACACCACAGAAAAAAAGAAAATGCTTAGAAGGAATCCTGAGATTGGGGGAAGACCCCCTCCCTCGCCTCTTGCATCTTCTGCAGAGTACTGATAAATGCTTGCCAGTGAGGGAACTGCCTGAGCCAGAGTAAAACCATTTATCCAAAATGAACAAAGGGAATAATTTCTTGTGCTCACAGAAGGACAGGAATAGTTTGAGTTCCACCTGAGTTGAATATATGGTAATTCAGAGTAAGATGGATAGAGTTACTCAGAATGGTACTGTCTTTTTATGGGTGACTATTCTGATCCTACTTAACAAAGTTTAAAATCAATGGTGTAAGAATAATTAAAAATTTTTGTACAAAATATACTATTTCCATACTTCTTAACATATACAAAAATTCAAATTAGATATAGATCTAAAGGCAAAACCTAAAACTTTGAAACTTTTAGAAGAAATCATAGGAGAAAATCTGTGAACTTGGGTTAGGCAATTATTTCTTAGCTACAGCACCAAAATTATGATCTATAAAAAAAGAAATTGATACACTGGTTTTATTAAACATTTAAAACATTTGCTCTAAAGATTGCTAAAAGTATTAGAAGACAAGCCTTAGACTGAGATAACATGTTTGCAAATTACATATATAATGATGGACTTATATTCAGAACACTCGAAATACAACAAACCCATTTCAAAAGTGATCAAAAGATTTGAAAAATATGATAAAAAGGAAAATAACCCATAATTTGAATAGACATTTCTCCAGAGAAGGTATACAGATGGCAAATAACCATATGAAACAATTGTCAACATGATTAACCATTAGAGAAATTCAAATTATAATGAGATACCACTACACAATATCAGAATTGGTAAAGTTAAAAAAAATGAGACCACATATTGACAAGAATGTGGAGAAACTACAACTCTCATACACTAGTGGCTGGAATACAAGATGACAAAACCACTTTGGAAAACATAGCTCTTTCTTTAGAATTTAAACATACACTTACTTTATTACCCAATTATTCTATTCCTGGGTATTAACCAAGAGAAGGAAAGCATATATTCACATAGAGACTTGTACCTGAATGTTCATGTTAAATACAGTAAGAAATTCTTCTTCAAAGATTTAGTTTGCTTAAGTTTGCTTGTCCTTTGTACCCTGCTTTCAAGGCCAGACTTCTTTACTCACTGTGTCCGCCTGCCCTGGTAAACAACCTTCCTGCCAGTCTTTATCTATAGAGCCCACATTCCACATCTGCTAACCACTCTGTAAATTACCTTTCCCATTGCAATGGCTACTCCTGCCGAAACTGATCTTCCCACCTTCCCACCAGTGTAACCGCATTCCTGCACTTTTCAAGTTAGCCAACCGGGTTCAGCTTAGATTGTGCAGTCCAACTCCAGCCAATGGAGGCATGACACAGTAGCAGGGACAAGCTGTGTTAGAAATAAAAACCCCTGCTTTCCTCTGTTTGGGGTGCTCTCATGGCAACCAGAACTATGAGAAGCACCCTTCTGCAGAAGTAAATTTGCCTTGCTGAGAGATCCTTTGTCTCAGTGCTGGTTCTTCTTTGCGGCACTGAGCATTTGTTTCCAGCGGTTCACAACAGCTTCATTTATAACACCTATAAACTGGAAATAACCCAAATATTCATCAACAGATAAATAGATTTAAAAAAATTAAGGTATATTCATACAGCTGAGTAGTTCTCAGCAATAAAAAGGAACAAACTATTGACACACACAAAAGCATGTATAAATATCAAAATAATTATGGTGATGTAAATAATCCAGACAAAGTACATACAATCATATGATCTCATTTATATAAAATTCTAGAAAAGGAACTGTAAACTGTAGTGACAGAAGCAGATTAGTAGTAGTCTGGGATACCAGCCTGCAGCCTTTCCCCACCAGCACAGCCTCTCTCCACCCCCTCACCAGTACGCATGGGCACACAGAACCCTCACCACCCTGCCAGCATGCACAAATGGGGGAACCCCCACCTACCCTGCCTGCACGCACATATACATGGACCCACCACTGGCCCACCCCAGTGCTTTTGCTGGCAGCCCCCATTGGAGGGTTGTTGCCAGCAGACTGGGAATACCTTGGCCTCTCCAGTGCAACAGGGGTTTAACCTTAAGGGGACAGAGAACAAAGAAACAGGCCAGGTCCCAACCCCCCAGGGATAGAGCACATACCCCAGGAATGCTAATTTGAGCCTTGGCCCCCTGAAAGCATCCAGAAATGAAGCCAATTGCCTAAGCCTAACTTATACCACAGTGAAACCCTTAAGGTATCAGAGAATGTAAAAGCAGAAAGCTCCATACAAAAGACAGCAATTTCAAAGATTAAGGGAACATCAGCCCACACAAATGAGAAAGAACCAATGCAAGAACTCTGACAACTCAAAAAGACACAGTGTCTTTTTAACACCAAACAACCACAATAGCTCTCCAGCTATTGTTCTTAACCAGACTGAAATGGCTATAATGACAGACATATAATACTAATTCTGGATAGCAAGGAAGCTCATCGACATACAGAAGGTCGAAACTCAAGCCAAGGAACACAGCAACATGGTCGAAGAGTTAAAAGATGGCATAGCCATTTTAAGAGAAAAATAAACTGAACTTCTGGGAATGAGAAATTCACTACAGGAATTTCATAAAGCAACTGAAAGCATTATAACAGAATAGACCATGCTGAGGAAAGAATCTCAGAGCTTGAAGACCATTTCTTTGAAACAACACAGGCAGACTAGAAAAAAGAAAAAATAATTTTTTAAATGAACAAAATATCAGAGCAATATGTGATTACGTAGAGACCAAACCTGGGACTCGCTGGCATTCCTGAAACAGATGAAGAGAAAGCAAGCAAATTGGAAAACATATTGGAGAATACTTCCACAAAAATTTTCCCAACCTCACTAGAGATGTTGACATGCAAATTCAGGATATTCAGGGAACCTCTGTGAGATACCATACAAGATGACCATCCCCAAGACACATAGTCATCAGATTCTCCAAAGGCAATGTGAAAGAATAAATCTTAAAGGCAGCTTGGGAGAAGGGGCAAGTCACCTACAAAGGGAACCCCAACAGGCTAGCAGCAGAATTTTCTGCAGAAACCTTACAAGTCTGAAGAGATTGGGGACCTATATTCAGCATCCTTAAAGAAAGGAAATTTCAACCAAAAACTGTATATCCAGCCAAACTAAGCTTCATAAGCAGAGGAAAAATAAAATATTTTTCAAACAAGTCAATGCTAAGGGAATTTGCTACCACCACACCTACCTTATAACAGGTCCTTAAGGGAAAGCAAAACATGGAAAGGGAAGATCATTACCTGCCACCACAAAATCATACTTACATGCGTAGCCCCCCAACACTATTAAGCAAATATCTAATCAAATCTATATAACAACCAGCTACCTGCCACCACAAAATCATACTTACATGCTTAGCCCTGACACTATAAAGCAAATATATAATCAAATCTACTTAATAACCAGCTACCTGCCACCACAAATTATACTTACACGCATAGCCCCCTGACACTATAAAGCAAATATATAATCAAATCTACATAACAACCAGCTAACACATGATGACAGGATCAAATCTGCACATAACAATATTAACGTTGAATGTAAATGGGATAAATGCCCCACTTAAAGACACAGAGTGGCAAAGTGTATAAAGAAGCAAGATCCAACTACATGCTGTCTTCAAAAGACCATCTCACCTGCAATGACACCCATAAGCTCAAAGTAAAGGGAAGGAGAAAGATCCATCAAGCAAACAAAGTATAAAAAAGAGCAGAAGTTGCTTTCTTATTTAAGATAAAACAAACTTTAAACCAAAAACAATAAAAAAGGACAAAGAAGAGCATTACATAATGATAAAGGGTTCAATTCAACAAGAAGACTTAATGATCCTAAATATATATGGGCCCAACAGTGTAACACCTGGATTCATAAAACAAGTTCCTAGAGACCTACGAAGAGATGTTGAGAACCACACAATAATAGTGTGGGAGACTATTTCAGTGGGAGACTTCAACACCCCCTGAAAGTGTTATGCAGATCATTGAGGCAGAAAACTAACAAAGGTATTTGGGACTTAACGCGGCACTTGACCAAGTAGACCTAACAGACATCTACAAAATACTCCACCCAACAACACCACAATGTAAATTCTTCACATCAGCACATACCAATCATACCAATCACACTCTCAGACCACAGTGCAATAAAAACAGAAATCAATGCCAAGAAATTTCAAAACCATACAATCACGTAGAAATTAAACAACCTGCTCCTGAATGACTTTTTGGTAAATAACGAAATTAAGGCAGAAATAAAAAAATTATTTGAAACTAATATAAACAAACATATAACATAACAGAAACTCTGGGACACAGCTAAAGTAGTGTTAAGAGGAAAGTTTATAGTGCTAAATGCATACATCAAAAAGTTAGAAAGATCTCAGGTTAACAACCTAACATCGCACCTAGAAGACCTAGAAAAACAAGAGCAAACCAACCCCAAAGCTAGAAGAAAATAAATAGCAAAATCCAAACTGAACTGAATGAAATTGAGACACAATAATCCAGGAAAAAGATCAATAAAACCGAAAGTTTCTTTTTTAAGGAACAAATAAGATTGATAGACCACTAGCTAGATTAATTTAAAAAGAGATGATCCAAATAACCACACTAAGAAATGACCAAAGTGACATTACCTCTGACCCCACAGAAATTTTTAAAAATCTTCAGAAACTATTACAAACACCTCTATACACACAAACTAGAAAACCTAGAAGAAATAGATGAATACCTAGAAACACACAACCTACCATGATTGAACCATGAAGAAACTGAAACCTTACACAGATCAGTTACAAGTATTATGCTCACTACCTGGGGGATGAAATCATTTATATACCAAACCCCAGTGACACACAATTTAACCCTGTAACAAACATGAACATGTACCCCCTGAACCTAAATTAAAATTTGAAAAAGAAAAACAAAGTGGTAATCTGGGGATAGACAGGAAATGGGAGGGAAAGGCTAAGGAAGGGAATTACAAAGGGAAATAAGAAATTTCTTGAGGGTTACAGATACCTTTATCATCTTGATTATGTCGATGGTTTAATGGGTGTTACTTTTCAAATTATCAAAACATCAAATTATACACTGAAAATATGTGTAAATTATTGTATATCAACTATATATCAATAAAACAATAGATTTAAAAGAGAGCAAACTATTGATACACATAATAACATGGATGGATTTCAAATATATTAGCTATGGTATAGAAACCAGACTGGAAAGACTGCATAATGTATTAATCCATTTATACAAAGTTCTGATGGGCAAAACTGTAGGCACAGAAAACAGATCCACCAGTGCCCAGAGCTCGAGTGGGGTGAGACAAAATTTTCTGGATGACAGAACTGCTCTACATTTTATTGAGCTAGTGGTATGTGTATATATTTGCTAAACTCATAACACTGCACACACTAAAAAATAATGAATTTCAGGATATGTAAATTATATCCCAGTTTTTAAAAGCCCTATTCCAATCGCAAAAGAAAAACAATGAAAAGGAAGAAAAGAAGATGAAGAAAAAGGAGGAAATAGAGAACAACCACCACCACAACCATGGAGGCTAGAATGGGGACACTAAAGTACAGGAAGTTCAGAAGGAGAAAAAGAGGCAGAATGGAGAAGTCAATTATTGCAGAGATAAGGGCTGAAAATTTTCATAACTTATAGAAAAATAAAGTTTAAGTATAAAGATAAAAAATGAATTGATTAGACTGATAGCAGACATCCCATAAACAGTGCATGCTAAAATTCAAAGGCATATCCTTAAAAGCCTTACAAAAATAACTGTTCACCTAAAGTTCCATACCCATATAACCTATAATTAATATTGAACATAAAGCAAAAAAATTCAGTAATAACCATCAAACAGATTATTACATGTAGAACATCACTGTAATGTACTTCCTCCAGAATAAAATGGAACCTACAGCAAATATATGCAAACTGAATAAATAGAAGAAATGGGTAAATTCCAAGAAAGATACAACATATCAGGACTGAATCGTAAACAGAACACCTCACCAAGCCTGGTGCCTCACACATAATCCCAGCACTTTGCAAAGCCAAGGTGGGCAGATCACTTGAGGCCAGGAGTTTGAGACCAGCCTGGCCAACATGGTGAAACTCCATCTGTATTAAAAATTAAAAAAAAATAGACAGGCATGGTGGCACGCACCTGTTGTCCCAGCTACTCTGGAGGCTGAGGCCCAAGAATCACTTGAACATGGGAGGGGGAAATTGCAGTGAGCCTAAAACACTACTGCACTCCAGCCTGGGCGACAGAGCAAGAGAAAAAGAAAGGATGGAAGGAAAGAAAGAGAGAAGGAGAGAGAGGGAGTGAAAGAGAGAGAGGGAGAAAGAGGGGAAGAGAGAAAGAGGGGAATGGAGGGAGGGATGGAGGGAAGGAGGAAGGTAGGAAGGGAGGGGAACATCTGAACATATCAAATAAGAGGTAGAAGATTGCAGGAATAATCAAAAACTCCCAACTACAAAAGGCCCTGAATAGCCAAACAATCCTGAGAAAAAAGAGTAAAGCTGGAAGAATTGTACTACCAGACTCAAAATATACTACAAAGCTGAGAAACCAAAACAGCATGATACTGGCATGAAAACAGACACTTACACTAATGGAACAGAATAGAGTACACAGAAATTAATCCACATATCTACAGCCAATTGAATTTTGACAAGGTGCCAAGAATATTCATTGGAGAAAGGGCAGTCTCTTCATTAAATAGCCCTGGGGAAAACTGGATATCCACATGCATAGGAATGAAACTGGACCCCTACCTCTCAATCTATACCAGAAAAAAAAAAAAACTCATAACGGATCAAAGTCCTACATATAAAATTCAAAATAATGAAACTCACAGAAGAAAACATAGGAGAAATGATCAGGACATTGGCCTGGGAAAAGATTTTATAAATAAGACTTCAAAAGCACAGGTGACAAAAGCAAAAATAAACAAATGGGATTATATCAAATTAAAAAGTGTCTGCACAGCAAAAGAAACAATCAGCATAGTGAAAAGACAACCTACAGAATATGAGAATATATTTGAAAACTGCTGGATTAATACCAAGAATATACAATGATTTCAACTATCTCAACAGGAAAAAAGCAAACAATTAGATTTAAAAATGGGCAGATAAACTCAACAGACATTTCTCAAAAGAAGACACACAAATGGCCAACAAATATGAGAAAAAATGTTCAACATCACTAATAATCATAGAAATGCAAATCAAAACCACAATGAGGTAATCTCGCACCCCAGTTAGTATGGCTTTTATCAAAAAGACAAAAAAAAATAACAAATGCTGGCAAGAATGCAGAGAAAAGGGACACTGTTGATGGGAATATAAACTAGGATAGCCACTATGGAGAACAGCAGGGCAGCTCCTCAAAAAACAACAAATGCAACTACCATATGAACCAGCAATCACACCACTGGGTATTTATCCAAAGGAAAGGAAACCATTGTATCGAAGAGACATTTGCACTGCCATGTCTACTGCAGCACTATTTATAATAGTCAAGATACGGAATCAACCTGTTTCCAACAACAAATGGATAAAGAAAATGTGGTGTAGATACACAATGGAATATCATTTAGCCACGAAAATAAAATCCTGTCATTCACCACAACACAGATGCAACTGAAGTATGTTGTTAAGTGAAATAAGCCAGGAACAGAAACTTAAACACTGCATGTTCTCATTTATATGTGGAAGCTAAAAAAAAGTTGATCTCAGAAGTAAAATGTAGAATAGAAGATACTAGAGGCTGTGAAGTTTAAGGGGAAGGGAGGGATAAGGAAAGATTTGCTAAAGTCTACAAAGTTACAGCGAGATATGCGAAAAAAGTTCTAATTCTTTATATCACTGTAGGATGACTATAGTTAACAATAATATATAGTTTCAAATAGCTAGAAGGAGGATACTGACTCCTCCCAATACAAAGAAATGATAAATATTTGAGATGATATATCTGCTAATTACCTTGATCTGATCACTATACATTACATATACTGAAACATCCCTGTGTGCCCCATGGATATGTACAATTGTTATTTGGAAAATTTAAAAATATATGAAAAAATAAAACTTGCAATTAAAAAAAAATCTCCCAACAAAGAAAAAAACAGAACCAGATGGTTTCACTGGTAAATTCTACCAAACTTTTATAATAGAATTAATACTAATCCTTCTCAGACTCCTCCAAAAAACTGAAGAGTAGGGAACACTTTCAAACACATTTTATAAGGCCAGAATTACTCTGATACCAAAGTTAGACAAGGACATTACAAAAGAAAATAATAGGCCAATATCCTTGATTAATATAGATGTAAAAATCCTCAACAAAATACTAGTGAACTGACTTTAACAGAACATTATAAGGATGATACACCATGATCAAGTGGGATTTATATTTGTGATGCAAGGATGGTTGAAAATACACTCAACAGATACAGGAAACAAAATTCAACATATTTAATTAAAACTAGCAACAGTTTGTCATAGAAGAAATATACCTCAACATAACAAAAGCCATGTATTATAAGCCCACAGCTACATTAAACTTAACAGTGAAAAGCTATCAATAAAAGTTTTGGCCTAAGATCAAGAATAAAACAAGAAGCCCCTCTCACCATTTCTATTCAACATAGTACTAGAAGGCCTAGCCACAGGAATTAGACAAGAAATAAGAAAAAAAGGGCATCCAAATTGAATAGGAAGAAGTTGTCTCTGTTTTCAGATGACATGACCTTATACGTAAAAAACTTGACATTTGCTAAGGGAGTAGATCTTAAGTGTTCTCAATACATACACAAAAAGAGGTAATTATATGAGGTGATGGATGTGTTAATTACAGGAATTGTGATAATCATTTTACAGCATATACATATATCAGGCAAATCATCAATTTTTATTTGTCAATCATACCACAGTAAATCTAAGGGAAAAAAGATAATTGAACCTAGAATGAAAAAGTAGGATTCCAACAGGAATTATGATTGTGGTGTTGGTACGAATCACATGATAAAATGTGGTAATACTATACACACACATAAATGAATGCATACAACACTATCAAATCTGAATAAGATCTTTAGTTGTATTAAAAGTATTGTACCGATACCATTATACTGGCTGTGGAAATGCAGTGTTCATGTAAGATGTTATCAATGGAAAAAGCTAGGCAAAGTGTACATGACAGCCCTGTGCAATTTTTGCAACTTTTTGTCTTTAAATTATTTCAAAACAAAACAATTTTTAGAAAAGGAATGGTGAGTAAGACTGGGAAATATACTGGAAAATCCTAGTATTCACTGACTAAACATAAAGATGATAATAACAAAAATAACACTGACTTATTTGGGAGAAATTTGAAAGTCAAATGACAAACATTGAAAATGGAAGGAGTTAAATGACTGAAGTCCTTGGGTTATTTCCAAGAAGACTATATGTAATGATTAAATTTAGACATTATATAACATTAACTACAAATACTAAAACTTAAAGAAAATCACTAAAACAAAAACAGAATACAAAAATGTCCAGAGTTAAAGAAAAAAAAAGAGAACAGAAAAATGAAACCATTTGAGAGCAGCTGCTGACATGGAGAAACCCAGTCTCTACTAAAAATACAAAAAATTAGCCAGGCGTGGTGGTGCACGCCTGTAATACCAGCTTCTGGGGAGGCTGGGGCAGGAGAATCACTTGAACCCGGCGAGCTAAGGTTGCAGTGAGCCAAGATCATGCCTCTGCACTCCAGCCTGGGCAACAAGAGCAAAGCTTCGTCTCAAAAAAGAAAGAAAAATGAAACCAAGAAAATAGATGATAGAAAAAGGAAAAAAAAAACAAAAAACATGGTAAATAGGAAAAAAGTAGGATGGCAAATTTCAGCCTAAACATATGTCATCATGGATTAAGCATATGAGCATAATGAACTCCATTAGTGCATTTCATATAAAGGCTGTTTATAAGACACCAGCTAAATGCAAAGACAGATTGAGAAAAAAACGAAAAAAGTTGTACCAGGTAAACGTCATTTTTAAAGAGAAAGTTGATATAGCAATCTAAAACAGTGAAAATTGTATTTAAGATATTATTAGTAATGATTAAAGGAAAATACATCAAGAAAATTTAACTAAAATAAACATTATGCATTTAGTCACTGCCTCAGAATATCTGAAGCGAAAATTTCAACAATCAGAGGGAAAGCTACAACCCACTGAAAATTTTACTTTGCCTCTCACAGAAGACAAAGTATCAAACGGACAGGAAAAAAACCCAGTATGTATAAAAATGATTTGAAACAACACAATTAAAAAGTTGGTCCTAAAAACATTGGAGGACACATATCAAGCTTACACATTTATAAAAATTTACTTCATTTTTTGTTCCAACATTTAAGAGAACCACATAGACAAGTTTCTCAAAATAAGCTAATAAAATTAGAAAATTATTTTTAAAACAATGAAAATAAATCATATAATTGAAAACTAAAGATTACAATTGATTCATTATTTAAACAAGAAATCCTGCTAGATTTTTCAAATTTTTTTAACTGAATGTCGACTATCATTTAAAAACTGGAGAGTATAAAGGAAATGATATATGTTAAGGAGAAGGTTTTTGCTATTAAAGTATTTCTTATTTTAGAAAATAAGAAGGGTTGAAAATTAATAAAGAAAGCATTAAAATCAAGAAATCTAGAGTTACAACAGAGCAAAGGTAAAAAGACCAGAAAGGAGGAAAAAGAGCAAAACTTGATATAAAAAACAATAGAAATAGAGACCACAATGAAACCAAAAGTTACATGTTTCAAACTACTAACAAAATAAAAACACCTCTGAGCGGACTGCTCATGAAAAAGAAAAAAAAAAGACAAAACAAACAAACCAAAATTGAAAAAGAAATGCATCTGCAGAGAAAGTATAGCTATTTAAAATTATACATAAAACAATACTAGGTAGGTTATGGGATATGGATAATGCCACGTGTATTAAAAACATGTAAGATACACAAACATTCAGTGTAGACATCCTCTACAGGGAGGGAAGGGGATCATACCAGAAGGAATTGCAGCTGCAAATACAATGGCTTATTTTATAAGAGAAACAAGAAAAATATTAATATCTGTTTATTTCCCATGGTGGGCAAGAGGATGTTTGTCATGTTGTTCTCTGTCTTAGTGTTTGAATTATTTCTTGAAAAATAAAAATGTAATAATCTAAATTACAAATTTCCCTTCTGAAAATTTAACCCAAAGAATATTTTTAAAATTACTTCTTATATGAGCCAGCAATGTGAATTAAAATATTTAGTCTGTAGTAAGGCCCTGAAATCTGCATTTTTAATAAATACTTCTGTTGTAGATGATACAGATCATCCCCTTTGATAAGAAAAGAACAGATATTACGTAAACATTTGACTTCTTCCTCTCTCAACTAGCAGTTCAATGACTTTGGCAAACTATGTAAATTACACTTCCAAATCTTTGTGTCTTAAAAATGGGTATTCACAGCTACCTCATAAAATTAAATGACATATTGATGTAATACTCAAAATCCCAGTGATATGTAAAGTATTGCTACTGCTCGTGATATTGTCTTACATATAACTAGATTCAAATGGTACTAATGTTTAACTTCAGAACACAAATGCAATTTACTCGCTACTTGGGAATTCCTCTTCCTTGGCGAACCACTTTTTCAACTGTTTCCTTGCCAAAACTATTGCGGTTGTTACAATGAGAATAGGAAGAGCAATGAGGAAACCTAGAAGCCAGGTGTTTTCAGTCTTCCCAGATGCTCTTTCCATGATTGAACCTAAAAACAGAAATACAAAAAAAAAAAAACAAAAAAATTAAACTATCTACTTTTACTTTCAAGTTGCAACACATTCATTAAAATCTTCTGAATTTGTATTGTTATTCAAGGAACATGGAAAAAATCATTATAGAATTGTAATCATAATCCTTGGGGCTACCTGTACAACGTTTCATTCTAAAAGCATGGAAACCAAGTTTTGGAAAGTTCAAAAGTATTCAAGTCTCACAGCAGCTACAGCAAAATCTCACTATAACCCTCTAAGTAGGGACAAAAAAATTCAATGATATACAACGTGGGATTGTGTAATTGCATGGTTATCCAAAAATGCACTCTTACAAGGTGCATTATCAAAGGAATTCAGTGTATTTGTGTATATCTTATTTTTCTTTGGTAGATTGTTGGCTTTTGGCCTTGGGGATCATGTTGTAAATGGGGTCATTGCAATACTACTAAAAGGGCACTGGCATAAAAATTAGAAGAATTGATTCCTAATCCTAATTCTGTCCCTTGCTATCACTGGATACATAGACCTAAACATATTCTCTAAACTCCATGAGGAGAAGAACTTCATTTTGCTCACCGTACATCCCCAGTGTGTAGACCAGCACCTGGACCTGGCATATATTAAGAGTTCAGTAAACATTTGCTAACTCAATAAATGAATTAATGACAGAAATGGAAGCTGTGGGGCACAAACAGAATAATATGCCAGCATCACTTCTGTCATCTCCTAAGCAGAAATTGATGGATTTTTCTGATTTAAATGATAAACTCCTTCAGAGTAAAATCTTGTCTTCTATTTCATTTCTTCTGTAACAGAAACACAGTAACAGTACTAGACACAGAGAAAATGTCATTTGTTTAGAGCTGAGGTCACAGGATCAGTCATAAAGCTGAGGAAGAGAGGTTGAAAATATTCTAAAAGATAAAGTCAATGATATCAGTAAAGAGAAATTTTAAAAGGTATTCAGCGTGAATTATGATATTTTAATGTTAGAAAAAAGAGCAAGACAAGATCGGGCACATTCAGGCTGGTATGGCCATAGACAATAAGGCTAAAGTCACCAAAACAGCATGGTACTGATATAAAAATAGACACAGAGACCAATGGAATGGAATAGGGAATCCAGAAATAAAGCCAAGTACGTACAGCCAACTGATCTTCAACAAAGCAAACAAAAACATAACATGGGGAAAGGACACCCTATTCAACAAATGGCACTGGGATAACTGGCAAGCCATATGTAGAAGAATTAAACCAGATCCTCATCTCTCACCTTATACAAACATCAACTCAAGAGGGATCAAAGACTTAAATTTAAGACCTGAAACCATAAAAATTCTAGAATATAACATCAGGAAACTATTCTAGACATTGGCTTAGGCAAAGCGTTCATGAGCAAGAACCCAAAAACAAATGCAATAAAAACAAAGATAAATAGAAGGGACTTAATTAAATTTAAAAGCTTCTGCGAAGCAAAAGATATAATCAGCAGAGTAAACAGATAACCCACAGAGTGGGAGGAAATCTTCACAAACTATGCATCTGACAAAGAACTAATATCCAGAATCTATAAGGAACCCAAACAAATCAGCAAGAAAAAAAGGAATTCCATCAAAACATGGGCTAAGGACATGAATAGGTAACTCTCAAAAGAAGATATACAAATGGCCAACAAACATATGAAAAAATGCTCAACATCACTAATGATCAGGGAAATGTAAATCAAAACCACAATGCAATACCACCTTACTCCTGCAAGAATGGTCATAATTTAAAAATCAAAAAATAATAGATGTTGGCATGGATGTGCTTAAAGGGGAGCACTTTTACGTTGTTGGTGGGAATGTAAACTAGCACAGCCACTACGAAAAACAGTATGGCAATTTCTTGAAGAACCAAAAGTAGATCTACCATTTGATCCAGCAATCCCACTATTGGAAATCTACCCAGAGGAAGTCATTATATAAAAGTCATTACATAAAAAGACGCTAACACAAATGTTTATAGCAGCACAATTTGCAACTGCAAAAATATGGAACCAGCCCAAATGCCCATCAATCAGTGAGTGAATAAAGAAAGTGTGATGTATATATACACCATGGAATACTACTCAGCCATTAAAAGGAACAAAATAATAGCATTCGCAGCAACCTGGATGGAGTTTGAGACCATTATTCTAAGTGAAGTAACTCTTCACTTGAAGAATGGAAAACCAAATATCATATGTTCTCACTCATAAGTGGGAGCTAAGCTATGAGGACACAAAGGCATAAGAATGATACAATGGACTTTGGGGTATTGAGGGGAAGGATAGGAGTAGGTGAGGTATAAAAGACTACACATTGGGTACAGTATACACTGCTTGGGTGATGGCTGCACCAAAATCTCAGAAATCACCACTAAAGAACTTATCCATGTTACCAAAATCCACCTATTCCTCAAAAACCTATTGAAATAAAAAAAATTAATTGATTAGTTAATTATAAAGAAAAGAGAGCAAGATTAAGATGGCATGTTTGGTTTCCATTCCTTGAGAGAATTCTGATTACCTTTTTATTACAAATATCAGTTGCCTTGTAAGTGGAAAAATCGAACTTTGTTTTAGTGAAGATAAGCAATTTGAGAATTTTATTAAATGGGTATTTAAAGAGACAAATACTTGCCCATATCTTCCTCAGGAAATATGGAAAATCCTTTGGAACGTATTTGGCAGTTTGGAGGCTTATAGCCTGGCGAACAATGGCACTTGTTTCTGGAATCACACACCTAGGATCATTTTGAAAAATTAAATGATTGTTTTAAAATATTTTCTCAGAGAAGGTGAGCATCAAGCTTACTTTTGTACCATAATCTAGTGTAATTTTGTTTATTTAGAGCGACAGTCTCACATATCAAATGTTTGGTTTCTTAGACTACAACACAGACACACACACAAAGCAAAAAAAAAAAAAAAAGAACTATAAAGTGAGGCTCTCAATATTTGCATCAAGAAAATTTGACACCTTGAAATGTTTACCTACAAATTTACGATGCAATTTCAAAAATGCATACTTAAATTATAATGAAAATGTGACCCCTCCAGTGACATGCTGGAGCCAGCATATATGAGTCTATCTTTGAGCTATTTTCATCCATCGC